>NC_000002.12:115065375-115368405 GCF_000001405.40 Homo sapiens | reverse complement strand
TACTAGTTCACATATATTACATCCTTTAATCTCACAATAACCTCCCATGTCATGGTTTCTATCCTGTGCTCCTGGACTCCCTGGAGATTTCACAATGGCCCCCAGGGGCTACCAGAAGGAAAGGAGAGAAATATGGCACACTGTAGACTTCCTGTCCCCAGGCTTAGGCTTTATTCAGAGAAGCTATCCTATATTTCTCTCTCTGTCATAATTTCGGCCTTTCTTCTCTTTTTCTTCGTATGATTTTGTTAGCACAAACTCAGGACAAGAAGAAATGGAAAACTAATATTGTAAGGAGTTCAGGTAAACCTTCAATAATGGTCACAGACCTTAATTTACAGCAAAGGCTAAAATAAAGGTGTGCTGAATTCACTGATGACTTTTAGCTATCTAATTTCCCTTAGATTAAGGGACATGAACCTAAACACACACCAGAGGAAGGCAGAACTAGGACAAGGTTTCTTTAATTCCTAAACTGTTTTCAATTAGAAATGTTTAGATTCCAATCTAAAACCTAGAATAATGAGTATTTTTTTCCTTTTGCATCTCCATCAAATGTCAACTTCTGTTTGCACAAATACTAAAACTAGTTTTATTAGATATAGTATAGAATTTTAATTTTACCATAACCTCAAATAAATAAATGTCAGTCATACACATAACAAAAAGATGTACAAAGTTGTATTAGTGCTTGTTATTCATTAATAATTGTAATCATTTTCTGAAACAAAAGACTGCCTTGATATTGCACCTCGTTAAAGTTTCAGTGATTTATTAATCCTAGGATCTTTAAAAATTATAAGACATATTTTAATAATTTGAAACACTTAGAAAAGTATAAAGAAAGTAGAAAAAGTTGGCTTTAAAACGTAAAAAAGTAAAAAGTCATATGATAGTTAATATTAAAATTGTGCCTGGTTAGCTGTATTTGTCAC
Organism: Homo sapiens; assembly: GCF_000001405.40. NCBI lineage: Eukaryota > Metazoa > Chordata > Mammalia > Primates > Hominidae > Homo > Homo sapiens. Next base: position 115,367,470 of record NC_000002.12, on the reverse strand, counting down.
ATGCTCTCCAAAAGCTCTATTAGATTGTTAATAAAGACATATATAGTTGTATATAGTAGACATCATATTACACTGAAAACTAGAACCGTCAACCTTTAAGACACTGGGAAGAACATCCGTGACCTATATATTTTCTAGAATTTAACTAAAAATCCCAACATTTGGACCACCAGGCTATGTTGCCAAAAAGTAGTTTAAAAACAACACACACACGCACACACAAACAAACATAATCAAAACCAAAATAAAAAAAACTCTATGCCATGGTACTATTGTCTGACTGTCTGTCCATTACATCTAAAATTCAAATGGCTGCATTTATCAGATAATTATGGGCGGTCTGTCTGCTGCTTAGGTACTACTTAAAGTATGTGACCTTTACTTTCCAACCCTCTCCTCCCTATAGTGTCTCTCTTACAATATCTATTAGGGACGTCAAATTGCAGAAAATATCTTCGTATATAGGATGGGTTAAGAAGATAGTGATGGATTCCACATATTGCGGGATATAAGGTCCCTACAACTAAGGAGTTTTGTCTTGGGCATGACCAACACCGATCTTCCTAAAAAGATACTGCTGGGGGTGCAATGTGATTTTTCATGTACACTATCTGTTTTCAGTGCTGAAGGGGTAAGAATTGGAGCGATAAGTAAAGACACAATATCAATTATTACAGGAATGCAACAGTTGGAATTTGATTAGACACTGAGAAGTGAGCTGGGAGCTAGGCAACTGCACCTGTGGATGTGTGGACCTTGGAAGACCCAGCAAAGTCAAGAGAAATAAACACTGAGTCTAGATAGACAGACCTTCCTTCAAAGACAAACAGGAACAAATAAATCAATGATTATGAAGACAAATACAACATCATCCTAAGGACTCGGTAGATAAGCCAATTAACTGATATTGATCTACTTTTGGAAGACTAGATATTTTTCTAAAACAATTAAGACAGTTAAAAATCTGTACACTAACTTAAAGACATACATAGCAATGTACATTGTATATAAGCAAAGCATAAAACTCTAAGGAATAAACCAGGACAAAAAGGCTATATAATAAAGTAAAGAAGAAGGAATATAATTGAGATATTCATAGAACCAAAATTTCAATAGCAGCAGTGGTGGTATTAATGAGTAGAATTGTTCCTATACACAAGAAAATGATATAAGTAATGTAAGGTAAATTTCGGATGCTGTCAGAATACATGGAATAGTGAAAAGAGATGAAAGTTTTCAGGAATGAGGTGCTAGATATAAAAGGCTGAGAGTGGAGAGTCATCCAGAGCATTATAGGCATCCTTTGGGAAGAAAATGGAAAAAAAATATTATTTCAATAATATATTATTATATCATTTCAATAATACTTCAGTATCAGCTCTCAAGAAAATCCCTGGCTCTGACTGCCAACCACTGATGGTGTCCTTTTTCTTTAAAATTGCATATATTTTAGCATAACAAAATAAATCTATAATCAGAAATTTTCATTACAGAAGGTCAAAAAGTTCAGTAATATATATTAATACTCATTAGTAACATAAATAAGAAGGAATCTGTTGATGTTAAATCTAGCTCTGTCACAGCTTTTGACCTTGAGACAAACCATAGTCATCCCAGGATTCATTTATTTTAATTCCCAAACAGGTTTGAAATGATGCTTGTGGATGGTGGTGAGCAGTAGATATGAATCCAATTTAGCTCAAATAAAATTAATTGAACATTAAAATGTTTTAAGCACTGGACTGGGCCTTGTAAGATCTATGAAAAACTAAAACAGACTTCCATCTTAAATACCTTATGGCAAAGTAAGGAAGACTCTCTAAAACGCTTTCTGGTTTTGACTTTCCAGAATTAATTGCCATTGTATTGAGATGTTTAAAAAACCAAGGAGAAAAAAAAATACTTTCATATAAAGAATCCCAGTCTTAGAAAAAAAAATAAATTCTTAAACATGGAAATTCTAAGAGTGCTTATGAAGAGATGGCATGTTTTGAGTAATGCATTTATTTTCTGCTTGACAACTTGGACCATCTCTGCCTGATGTCTGCAGTTACTTTTAGTTCTTGGAATCTAGGATGGCTCTAAGAAGCCCACCTAAACCATAACTTGAAAATGTTCCTCTGTGAGAGTCCAAATTATTCCTATTTTAAAAGTCTCCATGTTTGCATTTTTCTTTTATGGCAGATTTGTAGTTGGGCAACACTGGATTTCAGCAAATCCATCTGCCCCGCTGTCATGCAGAGTACCTCCATCAGCCTACTGGATTCTATCACAGTCTGTCTAGTTCCAGGAATTTGGTTTGCTTCAATACAGTTTCATGATTAGTGACTATTTCAGGAATCTAAACATAAATATTTTTACTTCTAAGAACTTACCTTAGTAATTGGAAGAACAGTATTAGTCTTTATATATACATGTAACTTGCTACAGAAGTTTGATCATCAGTAATCACACCATACTCTGTGACAGTGTTAGTCATAACACTTTGGTTCTTTTTTGTTAAACGAAAATTAAGCTGAGTGATTTTCTTCTCTTTAATTTTTGGAAGGAGAAAAAATATCCTCTACTACTTATATTTCATCTAAAATTTCAAGAAAACTTTTTAGTATACCTTCACAATTGTGTCAATCTTCAAATTAAAATTAGGGTCTGTTGTACCAAAGTAGTAATTCATTTGCTGAAACAACAGCGTAACTACGTGCTAGATACTGTGTTTGATGCTGAAAATGCAGAAAGCAAAAACCAGCATCCCTGCTCTGAGAAAATTCGGTTTAGGAACATGGAATCCAAACATTGCTAAGCATAAAAGTCATGCTGGCAACTTAAAGGAAAAAAAAAAAAAAAAGATGTCTGGGAAAGTCATGGTTGAGTATACAGAAGAACTGACTGATGTTTCATAAGGAAAAGCAGGAATTTGCTTTTTGTATGGAAAAATAAGAATATTCCAGACAAAATTAGTATCATGTAAAAAAGACATGGTTTGGGGATACAAACCCACGTACTAGCGAACAAGCAACAACGGCTCCTCTTTATGTGATTTGAGCACTGCCACTTGGTATGGCAAGTCTTGGAGGGTAAAAAGTGATAGTGTGGTGAGGTAATATGCTGGCACGAAAACAAAACCAGAGCTTTTTAAGCTAATTTAGCGAGTTACAGGATCTTTACACAATAAGAACTTAAGCACAGTAGGGAAGGCAACTCTAACCACCCCCATCTACCCTGCCAAAGTGAAGGCAGCAATTGGAATTTCAAAACAGATAAGAAAGAAAGGAGAGGAAATACAGGCTGGTGAAAAAAGTTGGCCAAAACAAAGAAAAAAAAAGCAGATCTTTTATTCTCTGCATTTTACATTCTTTGAACCTAGACGCCACCTAGGATAATTCCATGAAATATTTTAATCCCTCCTTATTTAATGACCTGAAGCATCTACCTCCACCTTTGCTACCTTATTTAATGACCTGAAGCATCTACCTCCACCTTTGCTACTAACTAGCTATGTGAGCCTAGGGAAGTTACCGAGCTCTCTCTGCTCCATTTCCTGAGCCATCAAGTGAAGGCAATGAAAATAATTCATGAGGAATAAATACAGTTAACCAAACCTTATTGGCCCGATGATGGGCACATACTCAACTCCCAATAAATAACTGTGGTTATCACTCAGGTGCTTTGACAAAACTAATGCCCAGAAATACTGGTTGACTTGCCCAAAGTCATAGAGTCTAGAGAAATGAAAAATAAATTTTATTCAATAAGAGATGGAGTCAAGAATGTTTTAAGTGGTTTATAATGTTTAGAAAGCATAGGCCTGTGATGCTCACAATGCCTTTAGAAGAAAGGCATAAGAGGAATTATCCTCTCAGTCCTATAGGTGAAGAAGATATGGCCACTGACAGAAGTCAAGTAACTTGCGCACCATGTCTCCTAGACACAGAACTAACCTTCCCATTTCAGGTACTGTACACTGATTCACAGATATGTTCCTTCTCTACCTTGGTGGTTGGTTGGGCCTTAGAGAACAACACAGCTGAATGGTTCAGACCACTGATGCCACTTAACCATGAGTCTGAGGAGAGCAGGCAATCCTTATGGTCTACAAGGACTTAGTGACTTCTCTACTTAAGAGATTTCACATTTTTAAATCTTTTAAATATAATAGGATCTTGGAGAAATTAAAAGCTAAGGAGTACAATGTGCAAACAAACTATTTTATCACAGATGTGGGTGACAGAGACAAATTAAATAATTAGCATTACTGGTAATGGTAGAAAACCCAGAGAACATTCAAATTCAAAGGAGAAGGGAAAAATATATACACACATTAACTAGGTAGTGTGTGATTTTTTCACTCACAAATTGAATAACACCAGAGACCAGATAGGTTTAAGCTTCATGCTTTCAGATGCTGTTGACAAGTGCATGGCAGTGATGGGCTAATGGCTTGGGTCATGAACCCAGTAATGAATGTTCAAGCTCATGAAAACTGGCATGGGTTATGACTGCACAAAAGAGGATACCAAGGTGTTATCAACTGAAAGTCCAATTGAGATCAGCTTTTAAATGTTTTAACAACTCCATATGGCCAATCAAATCAAAGAGCAAAGAGCTATGTGTCAAACACTAGAGTTTTCTTGACTGGAAATGAAAAGCAGACAACTTTCTGTGAAAGCTGACACCATTCCCTAGGAAAGGTCTAGAACAATGTATCAACTGGTTTCCTAAAACAAGGAAAAATTAAAACAGTAGCTTCAACTGTACCTTTATGTTGACATGGCGATAAACTGATAAAATATTAGAATTGAAGTTGAACTTAGAGGTTATTTTTTAATAATTTCGTATCCACTATATGAATCTCACTAATATATCTTTATCACATGATCACCCAACCTCTCTAAAACATTAGCAGAAATGGGGAACTCACTGTTTGTTACTCAGCTTAACCAAAAGTTGGAAAACGTCACCTGCCAGTTATATAAAGCTTTTTGTTATGGATTTTTTCTATTATACATATAAGTTAAAAAAAAGTATAGATTCAATTTATCTCTGTGTTCTTGAACAAGTCACCTATTTGCTTTAAACTCAAGCTCTTCATTTATAAAATAAGCATATATCTACCTAAGTTAGAAAACTATAAACATTAGATATAATAAACTAAAAATGCAGAGCATGGTATCTGGCCTTAGTTGCCCCACTTACAAAACATAACTTACCATATAGAATCTTAGCCATTTAATGATAAGGAATGTTATCTCTAGAAATTTCCTTGCTAAAGACATTTTGGAATGCACCTACATGTTTAATACTTGTTTATTCAATAGAAACCAGTGATAGTTATCCAAAGTTCTCAATGGCTCATTCGAATTGACTGTATAACCAAGCTGATTAAGTAAATTTAGCCATTCATAAAGAAATGCACAAACACACAAATATACACACAAAACATACACACAAAAACATACACACAAAACATACACACACAAACATACACACACAAACATACATGCAAAAACAAAGCAAGTTGAATTAAAAGGTTAATATGAAAATTTGGAGTTGGGGGGCCAACATAGCTGACTAGATGCAGCCAAGAAGCAACTCTCCAACCAAGAGAAACCAAAATATCCAGTGAACCATCACACCTCAAGCAGATCCTCTGGGAGAAAACTGAAAGTCCACAGAGAGGCAACACAAACACTGAGGATGAAGAGGGAGGAAGCTGCACAAAGTTGCTGAGCACCAGAACTGGCTCTCAGCCCTTAACAGGTCCTAAGGAAGAAGTGAATAAAGGAACTGCGGGACACCACACTCCTGCCACAGACCTCTGAGATCCTAGCTATGAGAGATCCTGTGACCCCAAAAAACATTTGAATCGGCAGGGGAACTGCTTGGAGAGTAAGCAGAGGCAGAGCTCAAATCTGAGAAGAACTCAGAAGATTTTGCATGAGGGGGTGCAGGAAACAGGGCTGTTTTTCCCATGGGAAAGGGGCATGTCTGGTCTGCACATCCCCTTGTCCATTGACCACCCTCAAAGCCCCTGCCTGACCACTCCATCAAGAGCATGCCGACAATGCAACCTCTACTGCCCCACCTGAGTGTCTCGCCATTAGTCTGGAATTGCTTTGCCCTCCCGCAGAACAGGTAGTATCTGACCCAGATGGGCAGAAGGACAAAGCTGCATGCCTGGTCTCAACTCCCTAGAATTTGAACACACGGCTCAGGGGTATTGAGCTGAGATCTTGAGCTCAAGCAGGAGAGGAGCCCTCACTCTCAGACCACAGAGAAGACTGAGGTGTGGGATCATGGGATGGCACAGCAGCTGGGTATACCATGCTCTGGAAGACCAATCTAGGAAGGGTGTGGCCTATCTGCCATCCTCAGCCTCTGCCTGAGGGAGCTCCATGCCCTGCAGCACCTAACAGACAAGCAATCGGAGAACAAAAGGCTTGGGACAAAACTAGCTGGGCAAGCTCAGTACTGGGACAGACACTGGAAGGAGACCTGATCAGTCAAGCACAAGCTGGGAAGTCCAGACAGCAATCTCTGGGCAAAAAACTCTAGGCCCTGGGTACCACACCAGCTGCACACCCACAGCAACACTGCCCTTCCTGGGATCCTCCACCTCTGACCGACTGAATCAACAGACCACCAGCAGACATACCCCACAACCCTCTCTGACTCTGTCAAGTACAGAGGTATAGCAGGCCCCTAGGGGACTACGGGTCTCCTGCCAACCTAACCTTTGGCTCAGGCCACTCCATGGGAGGAAACAGCACTGCCAGCCTAGGCCTCCCTTGGAGCTAAAGAAATGTGGGCACAGCACCAGAGACTACAGGGAGCTCCCCCAAGTCCCAGGAATGAAAACTTGGTGAGAGAGTCATCCCCTGATTCCCCCCAACTCCTCCAACCTGGAACACTACACAAATGCACTGAAATACAAAAAAGGCACACAGTTGAATAAGAACATACCTGCTGACTCTTATTCTTAAATGCCATCTAATGGAACGCAGTCTGAATTACACCACCAAACAAAAATGCCTTCCACACACTGCCTGTGAAATACAATGTAGAGATCTAGCTATAATTAAATAACCTGTACAGAGGCTTAACCCTCTGAAAGCACCCAGAAACAAAGCCAATTAACAATACAAAACATTCACTACAGTCACACCCTCCAGAGAGAAAAAGAATATAAAAACAAAATGCCTCATCCAAATGACAGCAACTTCTGAAAGATAAAATAACACTAACCGTCTCAGATAAGAAGGAATCAGTGCAAGGACTTTGGCAATTCAAAAAGTCAGAGTATCTCCTCACCTCAAAACAATCACACTAGCACTCCAGCAATGGATCCTTACCAAATTGAAATGGCTGAAATGACAGACATAGAATTCAGAATCTTGGTAACAAGGAAGCTCAATGCGATTCAAGAGAAAGCTGAAACCCAATCCGAGACAGCAGTAAAATAATCCAAGAGTAGAAAGACAACACAAGCATTTTAAGAAAAAACAAAACTGAACTTCTGGAATTGAGAAACTTACTAGAGAAATTAAAAAATATAATTAGAAGCATTAAAAATAGAATAGACAATGCTGAGGAAATAATCTCAGAATGAAAATACTGGTCCTTTTAACCAATTCAGTAAGACAAATATAAATTAAAAAAAATTTTAAAGAAAGAAAACCTCCAAGAAATACAGGGTTATGTAAATAAACCAAGCCTATTATGCAATAGCATTCCTGTGAGAGAAAGAGAGTAAGCAACTTGGAAAACAAATTTGAGAATACATTTCATAAAAATTTACCCAATCTCATGAAAGAGGTCAACTCACAAATTCAAGAAATTTGTTGAGCCCCTATGAGATATAAGAAGACCATCTCTAAGGCACATATTCAATAGATTTTCCAAAGTCAGTGTGAAAGAAAAAATCTTAAAGGCAGCTAAAGAAAAGGGTGAGGTCTATTACAAAAAGAACCCCATCAAAATAACAGCAGGATTGTCATCAGAAGCCTTACAAACAAAAAGAGATTGTAGGTCTATTTTCATATCATTAAAAAAATTTCAGATAATTTCATCTTCTGTCAAACTAAGCTTCATAAGCAAAGGAGAAATAAAATCCTTTCCAGAGAAGTAAACACTAAGGGAATTTATTATCACCAAAACAGTCTTACAAGAGGTCTTTAAGGGAGTTCTAAACCTGCAAATGAACAATACCTGCCTCCACAAAAACATACACACATGCATAGTTCACAGACTCTATAAAGCAACTACACAATCGAGTCCACAAAACAACCAGGTAATAACATGATCACAGGGTCAAATTCTCACATATCACTATTAACGATGAATGCAAATGATCTAAACACCCTACTTGAAAGCTACAGTGTGGCAAGTTGGATGAAATGCTAGACCCAACCATCTGCTATCTTCAAGAAACCCATCTCATATGCAACAACATCCCCAGTGAAATCTCATCTTGAATTGTAGTTTCCATAATCTCCATGTGCCACGGGAGGGATCCGGTGGGAGGTAATTGAATCATGGGGGTGGTTACATCCATGCTATTCTTGTGATAGTGAGTGAGTTCTCATGAGATTTGAAGGTTCTATAAGGGGCTTTTCTTCTTTTGCTTAGCACTTCTCCGTGGTACTGCCATGTGAAGGATATGTTTGCTTCCCCTTCTACCATAATTGTAAGTTGCCTGAGGCCTTCCCAGGCATGCTGAACTGTGAGGAGGCAATTAAACCTCTTTTCTTTATAAATTACTCAGTCTCAGGTATCTCTTCATAGCAGCGTGAGAACAGACTTATACAGTAAATTTGTACTGGTAGAGTGGGGTGCTGCTATAAGGATACCCAAAATGTGGAAGCAACTTTGAAACTGGGTAACAGGCACAGGTTAAAACAGTCTGGAGGGCTCAGAAGAAGATAGGAAAATGTGGGAAAGTTTGGAACTTCCCAGAGACTTGGAGGGCTCAGAAGACAGACAGATGTGAGAAAGTTTGGAACTCCCTAAAGATTTGTTGAATGGCTTTGACCAAAATGCTGATAGTGATGTAAAAAATGAAGTCCAGGCTGAGGTGGTTTCAGATGGAGACAAGAAACTTGTTGGGAACTGGAGTAAAGGTCACTCTTGCTTTAGCAAAGAGACTGGCAGCATTTTGCCCCTGCCCTAGAGACATGTGAAACTTTGAATCTGAGTGAGACAATTTAGCATATCTGGCAGCAGAAATTTCTAAGTGACAAAGTGCTCAAGAGGAGGCAAACAAAAAAGCCTGGGAATTTGTAGCCTGATGATATGATAGAAAAGAAAAACCCATTTTCTGGGGAGAAATTCAAGCAGGCTGCAGAAATTTGAATAAGCAACAGGGGGCCCAATGTTAATCACCAAGACAATGGAAAAAATGTCTCCAGGGCATGTCAGAGACCTTCACAGCAGCCCCTCCCATCGCAGGCACAGAGGGCTAGGAGAAAAAAATGGTTTCCTGGGTCGGGTCCAAGGCCCCCCTGCTGTGTATAGCCTCGGTACTGTGTCCCAGCCTCTTCAAACCTAGCTAAAAGGGGCCAAGGTACAGCTCAAGATGTTGCTTCAGAGGATACAAATCCCTAGCCTTGGAAGCTTCCACATGGTGTTGGTCCTATGGGTGCACAGAAAACAAAAATTGAGTTTTGGAAACTTTGCCTAGATTTCAGAGGATGTATGGAAATGCCTAGATGTCCGGGCAGAAGTTTGCTGCAGGGGTGGAGTCCTCATAGAGAACCTCTGCTAGGATAGAGCAGAAGGAAAATGTGGAGTAGGAGCCCCCACATAGTGGCCCCACTGGGGCACTGCCTAGTGGAGTTGTGAGAAGGGGCCCACCATCCTCCAGACCTTAGAATGTTAGATCCACTGACGGCTTGTACTGTGCACCTGGAAAAGCTGCACACACAACACCAGCCCATGAAAGCATCCAGGAGGGAGGTTGTAGCCTGCAAAGCCACAGGAGTGGCGCTGCCCAAGTCTGTGGAAGCCCACCTCTTGCATCAGTGTTACCTGGATGTGAGACATGGGTTCAAAGGAGATCATTTTGGAACTTTAAGGTTTATGACTGCCTTATTGAATTTCGGACTTGTATGGGGCCTGTAGGCCCTTGACCAATTTCTCTCATTTGGAATGGGTATATTTAACCAATGCCTGTACCTCCATTGTATCTTGGAAGTAACTAACTTGTTCTGGTTTTACAGGCACTAGGTGGAAGGGATTTCCCTTGTCTCAGATGAGACTCTGAACTTGGACCATTATCCATTAGGCTATTAGGTCACTATCCATTATCCATTAGGACATAATCCTAAGAGAATTAATAAAGAAAGAACAAATCAAATACTGCATTTTCACACTTATAGTGGGAAATATATATTGAGTACACATGAACATAAAGATGGGAACAATAGATGCTGGATAATACAAAAGATGGGAGAGAGGAAAGGGGCAATGGTTCAAAAACACTTAAACATTGTTGGTGATAATGTAAATTAGTTCAGCCACTATAGAAAGCAGTTAGGAGAGTTCTCAAATAACTAAAAATAGAACTACCATTTAATCCAGCAATCCCATTACTTGGTATATACCCAAAGGAAAATAAATCATTCTACCAAGAAGACACCCATATGTTCATTGTAGCACCCTTTACAATAGCAAAGACATGGAATCAACCAAGGATCCTACCAACAGTGGACTGGATAAAGAAAAACTCTCAATAAAACAGCTATTGATGCAACATATCTCAAAATAATAAGAGCTATTTATGACAAACCCCTAGCCAATATCATATTGAATGGGCAAAATCTGGAAGCATTCCCTTTGAAAACTGGTTAAAAACAAGGATGCCCTCTCTCACTACCCCTATTCAAGATAGTATTGGAAGTACTGGCCAGGGCAATCAGGCAAGAGAAAGAAGTAAGGGTATTCAAATAGGAAGAGAGGAAGTCAAATTGTGTCTGTTTGCAGACAACATGAATCTACATTTAGAAAACTCCATCATCTCAGCCCAAAACTCCTTAAGCTGATAAGCAACTTCAGCAAAGTCTGAGGATGCAAAATCAATGTGCAAAAACCACAAGCATTCCTTTACACCAACAATAGACAAGCAGAGGGCAAAATCATGAATAAACTCCCATTCACAACTTCTATATAGAGAATAAAATACCTAGGAATATAGCTAACTAGGGATGTGAAGTTGCTCCTCAAGGGGAAGTACAAACCACTGCTCAAGGAAATAAGAGAGGACACAAACAAATGGAAAACATTCCATGCTCATGGACAGGAAGAACCAACATTGTGAAAATGGCCATATTGCCCAAAGTAATTTATAGATTCAATGCTATTCCCATCAAACTACCATTGACTTTCTTCACAGAAGAAGAAAAAACGACTTTAAATTTCATATGGAATCAAAGAAGACCCTGTATAGCCAAGACAATCCTAAACAAAAAGAACAAAGCTGGAGGCATCACACTACCTGACTTCAAACTACACTACATGGCTACAGTCACCAAAACAGCATGGTACTGCTACAAAAACAGACATATAGACCAATGGAACAGAACAGAAACTTCAGAAATAACACCACACATCTACAGCCATCTGATCTTTTACAAACCTGACAAAAATAAGCAATGGGGAAAGGATCTCCTATTCAATAAATGTTGCTGTGAAAACTGACTAGCCATATGCAGAAAGCTGAAACTGGGCACCTTCCTCACACCTTAAACAAAAATTAACTCAAGATGGATTTAAGACTTAAATATAAAACCCAACATACTAAAAACCCTAGACGAAAACCTAGGCAGTATCATTCAGGACATAGGCATGGGCAAAGACTTCATACCAAAAATGCCAAAAGCAATTGCAACAAAAGGAAAATTGACAAATGGGATCTAATTGAACTAAAGAGAATCTGCACAGCAAAAGAAACCATCATCAGAGTGAACAGGCAACCTTCAAAATGGGAGACAATTTTTGCAATATACCCATCTGACAAAGGTCTAATATCCAGAATCTACAAGGAACTTAAACAACTTTACAAGAAAAAAACAACCCCATCAAAAATGGGCAAAGGCTAAGAACAGACACTTCTCGAAAGAAGACATGTACACGGCCAACAAACATATGAAAAAAAGGTCAACATTACTGATCATTAGAGAAATGCAAATCAAAACCACAATGATATACCATCCCATGCCAGTCAGAATGGCAATTATTAAAAAGTTAAGAAACAATAGATGCTGCTGAGGCTGTGGAGAAATAGGAACACTTTTACAATTACTTACACTGTTGGTGGGAATGTAAATTAGTTCCACCATTGTGGAAGACAGTATGGCAATTCCTCAAGGATCTAGAACCAGAAATAACCTTTGACCCAGCAATCCCATTACTGGATATATACCCAAAAGATTATAAATCATTCTACTATAAAGACACATGCAAGCGTATGTTTATTGCAGCACTATTTACAACAGCAAAGTCATGGAACCAACCTCAATGCCCAACAGTGATAGACTGGATGAAGAAAATGTGGTACATATATACCACGGAATGCTACGCAACCATAAAAAGGAATGAGATTATGTGCTTTGCAGGGACATGGATGAAGCTGGAAGCCATCATCCTCAGCAAACTAACACAGGAACAGAAAACCAAACACCACATGTTCTCACTCATAAGTGGGAGTTGAACAATGAGAACATATGGACACAGGGAGGGGAACAACACACACCAGGGCCTATTGTTGGGTGGGGGGCGAGGGGAGGGAACTTAGAGGACAAATCAGTAGGTGCGGTAAACCACCATGGCACATGTATACCTATGTAACAAACCTGCACGTTCTGCACATGAACTTAAAGGAAAAAAAAAAGAAATAAAGAAAATGTGGTACATACATACCATGGAATACTATGCAGCCATAAAAAGGCCAAATTATGTCATTTTACAACAACATAGATGCATTTTGAGACATTATCCTATGCTAATTAATGCAGAAACAAAAAAACTAAAACTAAAAACCAAAACAAAAAACCAAATACCACAAGCAAAGTGGGAACTAAACATTGGGTACCCATAGACATAAAGATGGGAATGTTAGACACTGGTGAAAATAAGAGGGGGTAGGGAGGGAATGTGGGAGACAAACTTTGAAAAACTATCTGTTGGGTACTATGCTCATTACCTGGGTGACATATTCAATCATACAGCAAAATTCAGCATCATACAACACACCCAGGTAACAACCTGGTATACCCAGGTAACAACATGTACCCCTGAATCTAAAATAAAAGTTGACAAGAAAGAATACATTTTTTTAAAAAATGAAAATATGTCCTAAGTTTCAGTTTCTTATTATGATTATCTGCAATGACTTCTTTTTTTACATGTAAAATCAATCATATAAGAACAATTACATTTTCTAAAAATATCTAAACATTCCAATAAAATGGAAACATTCATATACAATTACAAAGAAAATCTTTCCTTATTCTTATCTACTTTTCCTTTAATATTGTTTTCCTTAAATCTATGTGTTTTAAAAATTAATTTATAAACACTGTCAAATGTTAGTTTCATGATAATAAAAAAAATTCACTTGAAACGTTTTCTCTACTCTAGTTTCCACCAAACATTAAACATGAAAGATGTGGCTTCTAGCCAGAACTTATTACTGAGTGAATCTGAGAGAAGTGGAAAAAACCTGCTTCTCAAGTTACTCATGTATAAAACAAAAATAATGCCCATCCTGCCTCCCTAAGAAGGGTTTTCAAAAAAATGCAAATAAATAGCATATGTAGAAGTGTCCTAGAAAAGTAGAAACATACATGCAAATTTTGACTTACTGAACACGTATTAGGTAAATTCCTATTACTAATATCTCCCACTTCAATTCCTACTACTAACAACTCCCATTCCCACAAAATAGCTGACATTTATCAGAGCAATTTTAAATTCTTCTGTTTCAAATTAAGAGCTAATAAAGGGTTAATCTGCTAAAGGAGATCAAAGTATAACAATTACAGTAAAATGATCAAATATACATATTCTAATCATATGCCAATACTGAGTTACTCAACTTTATTTTCCATTACTTTTATACATAGAGAGGCCCCGAACACACATACACAGCATTTTCCTTACCGTTAAACTTACACACCATGCTAATTTCTGTGATTTTGTCATAACACATCCTTGTTCTCCCAACAATATCTTCATTCATCCCCTGGGCTCATCTGCCCTCTAGACTGCGACTGAATTTTATCTTTTCCATAAAGACGACTCCAACCGTTCTTAACTCAAACCGATTTCTCCTAGTTGCAACATCTGTTTTTAAAAAATAATTACCCAGAAATGGATCACCTAATTATTGTTCACCTAATTGTTTTAGGCCTATTATTTTGATCTAGTTTCTATAGTCTCTGGGTACCATAATTATATTTTTTTTTTGAACATGTCAGTGGTACATGTATATATTAGTCATGATCATTACCATATGTAAGTGAAGACTGTATCAAATAAAAAGAGAGGCAGGGCGTACACAGCAGCTCAAAAAAATAAAATGTGCCATGTGTACCCTGCATCATAGTAAAGAGAGAGATGTAGGATGTGAAGATGTGTTTTTGATTTTGGAGAAGGTTAATAAAACTTCATCGTAATTGGACTGAGTATTTCTTGCAACTCTTCAGTTATGTCTACTTTCTGTCCCATTCACAGCCTTTTGATTACAATTTTACTTTTAAGCCTGAGACAACTGGAAAGATTTGTGCTCAATGAGGAAAAAAACCCTTTATATTCATAATGTCGTTGATCAAAGGGACTGTGTTTATTCACCTTTATATCTTTGTATCTAGAAAAATGTTTGGCTGTGCTTCAATCTTTTCAATACATGTTGGATAGATAAAAGGATAGATGGATATATAGATGGAAAGATAGATGTCAATGTCAATGTATCTATTATTCTATATTTGTATTGACAAACAGATTTCCTGGGCCATCAAGGCCAAGACCAACAATTGTATAGAATATCAAAGGACTATGAGGACACCAGATATTTTACTACAAACTTTTCAAATGTAAACAGATTCCATCTGGAATATATGAAGCTCTGTGCAGAGCACATATATGAAGCTCAATAAATGCTTGTTGATGAACTCTGAACATAACTTTCATCCCATTTCCCCAAGCTTTTTTTTCTTATTTTAAAAATCAAAATATAGTTTTATATTTCAAGAAATAAGTGGTAACATAAATATTTAGCTTCTTTATTCTAAAGTTTAGTTTGTGTTTCAAATTCTCTTTAAATACTTTGATCATTGCATACCTAGGTGATAGAAATATATTTTTTTCTTACATACTTTTTTGTTCCTAAATGTTAACACTGAATTTTATCAGTAAATCCCTTTTCTCTCTCTTGGTGTTTAGTTTAAGTATTGTCATTTTTAGACAAACTGAAATCTTAAAAATATTTTC
Source organism: Homo sapiens (assembly GCF_000001405.40). NCBI lineage: Eukaryota > Metazoa > Chordata > Mammalia > Primates > Hominidae > Homo > Homo sapiens. The sequence continues at coordinate 115,351,987 of NC_000002.12, read as the reverse complement.
TTGAAGAAAACTATTTAGATTTAAATTCCAAACAAAAGTTTGAATATCGTAGTTAGTATGTAAGATTGCCACAGTATGATTTTTTATAGTAGATATTTCCATTTTATTGATTTCAAACAGTTTTAATACAGATGAAATTTAATCTAAACTTTGGTAAAAGCACAATTTTACAAACAACATAGCAATAAATAAAACATTTTTGGTCATTTGGAGAGAAGTAAATATGCTTCATGGTATGCTTTTTAAGCATTTGTTTAGTTTTAGTAGGAAATTATCTACTCTTGATAGGAAGATACTTTGTCATATATAACTCTGAAAAGAAAAGTCAGCCTTGATAACCATGATTTACATTCCAAATTTCATTTACAAGTCTCTGGTCTGTGAATCAGGAACTAGGTATGTCATTATTTCAATAGCCTCCTATGTGTTTTTACTTTTTATTTGATTTTTAAAATTTTAATCTTTATTTTAGATTTGGGGGTATATGTGTGGATTTGTTACAAGGTATAGTGTATGATACTGAGATTTGGACTTCATTGATCCCAGTTACCCAGATAGTGAACGTAGTACCCAAAAGGAAGTTTTTCAGGCTTTGTTCCCCTCCTCCGCTCCCCACCTTTGGAGTCACTAATGCCTGTTGTTCCTATCGTTACGTCTGCCCATCCTCAAGATTTAGCTCCCACTTATAAGTGAGAATGTGTGATATTTAGCTTTCTGTTTCTGCATTAATTCACTCAGGATAATGGCTTCCTGCTGCATCCATGTTGCTGCAAAATACATGCTTTTGTTCATTTTTATGGCTGCACAGTATTCCATGGTGTATATGTACCACATTTTCTTTATCCGCTCCTACATTTTGGGGCACCTAGGTTGATTTCAGGTCTTTGCTATTATGAATAGTGCTGCAAAGAACATGCAAATGTATGGGTCTTTTTGGTAGAAAGTTTATTTTCCTTTGGGTATATACCCATTAATAAGATTGCTAGTCCAATGCTAGTTCTGCTGTAAGTTCTTTGAGAAATCTTCAAACTGCCTTCCATAGTGGCTGAACTAATTTACATTTCCAGCAACACCATATAGGCATTCTCTTTTCTCCACAGCCTCATCAACATTTGTTATTTTTGACTTTTTAAAAAAACCCTTTGGGGGCTAGGGTACTATTTAGGTTTGTAATATAGATAAATTGCATGTTGCAGAGGTTTGGATTAGTGGAAGAAAAAAGAACATAATAAACTACAGGAAATATTATGTCTCAATCTATTGGGAAAGAAGGAAGTGAAACTGCTGTTATAAGAATCCATGCCTCTTAAGTCTAATAGTCATTGCTGTGCTAAGAACATTCTCATTCTCCCAGGTTCAGTAACCTCACGCTCCTCTCTGTACCTCCTTTTCATACAGATCTCTGAGAAAAAAGGCACAGGCAGAATAACAAAATTAATATTTGTCTAGCTGAATGCATCTACCATAATGAGAATTTTAGTAACCATTTACTTGTTAGGTTTGAATTTCAAACAAAAGTTTGAATATCCGTAGTTAGTACATAAAATTGCCATAGTAGGAAACAGCAGAATGCCTGTTGAAAATTTGGAAAATATAGACAGAAAGGGAAAAAATAAAAACAACTCAATCACTCTAACAGAAAATTATTTAATATTTTGGCATATTGAATTCAGGTATTATTTTCTTTGCATATACTTGTGTGTATATGCAAGTAATGCAATTGTGAATACACTATATATATAATTCCATATTGTGCTATTTTCAATTAATATATTATCTGCACATATTTCAATGTCACTAATATTTTAAATATTAATTTTTACAGCTGTTTAGTTTTCCATTAAAAAGATGCAAATTGATTTATTTGACCATATACCTAATTGTGTGCATCTAGAATCTATGCAAGGTTTTATCTTTATAAATTATGTTGCAAGAAAAATACGTGTTATCTTCAAGAGCCTCATGAATATAAATTCAACTCTATTTTATTTAACTATCAGTTTGGTTGATGATTATAAAAAATAACACTTTGGTCACGAAGATACAAAATAAGATAAACATAAGATAATTTTGACTGGGGGCTGAATATAGGCTAAAGGGAGGGTAATGATGTCTTTGGAGTTAGAAGTAGCTCCCTGTGCACTGAGAAACACAACAACTTCTGCAGCTCTACCAAGTGAAGTTGATGGACAATAATTCTAGTATGACAAATTAGTGTCAAACAAACAAGCAAGAAACAACAAAGATGTATTTGTTTAGTTTTCCTATTTACAGTTCCCCTAATTACTGTAAATATTATTGATATATTACAATAATGTTTCTTGTTTTTCATACAGGCTACAATAGTGACTTTTCACTGCCTCTTCAATATCCTGCATATATTATGAGAATGAGACCTCCCAGCGCATTTATTAACAAATGTCAGGTGTTCAGAGCATCTCTAACATCAGTTCTATGAATCGCTACCATTTGAAGATCCACAAGGCTACAGACCTTGACTTTTCATTTATAGTTTTTTTCTTTTCTTTTTTTAACTTTTACCTTTTATCTTCACTTTTTACATATTTTTGCTCACTTACTTTGTATTATGCTTCTAGCTATGGCACTAATGTCCTCACTCTGAATGAAGAAACCAAGCCTTAAGAGGCTTAGATAACTTGCTGAAAGGCCATGGCTTACCTTGATTTAATGAGTCTCCCATTTCCACATATTATACTGTCACACGTTACAAAGACAGCAGGTTAAAATATCTGTGTTGGAATCTCATGTAACAAGTGAGTTTATTTTTTTCCAACATGAGTCCAATAAGATCAAAATAAAACCCAAAGCCTCACATATTATCATTTATCCCAGCATGCCATTTTGCAAAAGAAATGTGAAACAACTTCTATCCCATTACATATACACTGTTCTCATTATAATGAAACTATTTATGGAGCACTCATTGAATACTGACAGTTATTCCTCATCGTTTATAGTCTCCTAGGAAAGGGCTGTGCTAAGAGTGTTGTTATCTTACTACAGCCAGTTGGTGAAGGGTTGACCACTGGTCCAGAGCAGGTAGGTTTAATTGTGGGTACACATTTAAAAATTTTCATAGCAATTTGATATTGCTGCAGGTTCATAACAAATGGTAAGTGGACCAATATCACTGAGCAGGTGTTGTCAAACTCATGGGGTGAGTAAAGGACACACTAGCTGCACGGTAAAATCTCATTACATGATGGTATGTTTGTCCACTGGAACCCAAATGTATTTAAAATTTACAACTTTTTTTTATCAAATGATAATTTTAATTGTTTATACTCCATCAGATAAATTTTGGAATTGTCTTCTGACACAGTGGAAAACAAAGTTTAAAAATAAAATAGCACTTGATTGATTTTATCTAATAGCTCAAAATGAATATCCTGAGAGTGCTAACGTTGCAGGATACCCATGTAACAAACCTGCACATGCACTCCCTAAATCTAAAATAAAAAGTTAAAATTATAAAAAAAAACTATGTAAACACATGCATTTATTGAAAAAAATCGAGAAAAAACAAAATAAGTAAAAAGAAAGGGATAATCTGGAGACAATCACTGTTACACAATAGACAATGTGATATCACATACTATCAATGCTGTTTTGAAGTTACTTTGTTCACTTTTCTAGATCATGATCAAGTCAATAAACATGTGTATAAACTCTAGTTTTAGTGACTGTATAAGTTACCACTACATGAATGTACCTGGGGAAATAAACATATTATTGTAGTATTCAACATGAAAAAATTAATAGTGTTGGGACTCAGAAAATGATACCTCCAAGTATGGCATGGTGGCATGCTGAGTACGTTGAACTGACTAAGATATTGGAAGGCCTCTGAGCAGTCTCAGAAGCAAAGTCTGTATCTGACCTCCTTCTGCCTTCCTGTCTCCTACCTCTCTGCCATCCCTGAAGCAAGTAATAGAAACCAGATTCCTCTACCCCAGGAAAGGTTACAAAAACTTGAAATCCCATTACTCCCAAATCATTTTACTATAAAGACACATGCATATGTATATTTATTGCAGCACTACTCACAATAGCAAAGACTTGGAACCAACCCAAATGCCCATCAATAGTAGACTGGATAAAGAAAATGTGGCACATATATACCATGGAATACTATGCAGCCACAAAAAAGGATGAGTTCATGTCCTTTGCAGGGACATGGATGATGCTGGAAACCATCATTCTCAGCAAACTATCGCAAGGACAGAAAAACAAACAAAGCACGTTCTCACTCATAAGTGGGAGTTGCACAATGAGAACACATAGACACAGGGAGGGGAATATCACACACCAGGGCCTGTCAGGGGGTAGGGGACTAGGGGAGGGATAGCATTAGGGGAAATGCCTAATGTAGATGATGGGACGATGGGTGCAGCAAACCACCATGGCACATGTATACCTATGTAACAAACCTGCATGTTCTGCACTTGTACCCTAGAACTTAAAGTATAATAACAATAATAAAAGAAACTAGCATCCCTCTTTCCAAGCAAACCATAAGATTTAAAAATATTTTAACCTTCCTCTGCTTTTCTGTGTAGGAGCTGTCACAAGGAAATGCACTGACCTACCTTTCAGATAATAGATCATAAGACCCTATTTCCGGGGGAGTTCTGCCTTATATCTGGCAGGATGAAATGCTACACAGGGAGGCCAAGAAGGATCTGAACAGGTAAGCTTTGCTGGGTTTCTCCCTCATTTTATTATCATTAGAGTATACCCTTTTTGTCCAGTCACACTTCAATACACTGTCCGTACTTTATTTAACCTAAGCATACAAATGGACAGTTTTCCCTAGGCCTTTGATTCTTCATTTCTAAAGTCTTCCAAGTGACATAAAACTTTCATTAAATAAATTTGTTATGCTTTTCTCTTTTTAACTGGTCTTTTGTTACAGCAGTGTTGGCTGTGACCTTTATGATGGGTGAGGAAGGCTTTCATACCTTTCCACCCTACGACAGCAATGAGGTCTGTTAAAATGAGATTGTCAGTGAGGTGCTTGATAAATATGTTAGATATGAGGATGACACATCAGAGTCAAACAATGAAAGAGGTCAAGTTTTATACTTAAGCATAATGAGTAAAGCAGCCTCTGCCTTTTATTAGGTGTGTGTTCGGATAAGTTTCTGAGTTAAGCCTCAGTTTTCTGGGGTTAACTTTAATGTCATATGCAGTCCTGTGAAATATGTACATAAAGCATCGATCACAGAGTCTCAATAGAAGGCACTCAATGTTAGATCTTTCTTTGGTGATTAATTGATTATCAAATGTGTGTGGATAGAATGAATAATTTTAAATAAGATGGGTTTTCAAATTTCAAGGTGACATTGCTAGAATGAAGATGCTATAAAAATGTAGATTTCAAAGATATGAGCAGACTTGGGGTAAGGCCGTTGTTAAGCTAACCATGAACAGGGGCACCCATCCAAGACTGCAATGATATTCTCAGACATATTTTTTGAGACCAAGCATAATGAATGGCATCGCCTCACTATAACCTACACATGTCAGGGCCGTCTAGACTCCCTCCTTCCCCTTGACCAATAATGCATTAAGCACTTCTATGATGACCTCCAAGAATTAAATGATGCTTCCAAATAAGCTGAGCTCGAACTCCTTCAAGTGACTTATGTACAAAGAAAACCTGTTGAGATATCACTTGAGAATAAAGAAAAAGCTCACAGGTTACATTTAGATATAACTGTTGATAATGAGGCCAAGGTTACACATCCTACTCATATATTTCCCATTGAATTTCCAGGCTATGTGAGGAATACGTAAATAGGCCAAGTATCTAGCACTTGCCAGAAAGATCTGGGTTGGATAAAAGCACAAATCCATTTCTATACTTAAAAAGTAACTCAGTGCACACAATTTACAGGCATTGAGACAGTTCCTTCAATGGTATTTATAAAGACTGCATTCTTTCAGAGCTTAGGTTCTGTTTATTCCAATTTAAAGAGTTGTCTTTATGTCAAATTCTTTATAAAAATTATATATTTAGGTATTACTTAGAACATTATAATAACACTGCAGCTTTGTCCCAGATGCCTTCTTAGGATCAAATTTAACCAATGATTAATAAAGAAATTACTTGAAAAATGATAAACTCCAAATATATTATTTTGGTAACCTATGAAGTATAAGAGTAGAATCTGTGTCCTACATATTGAAATATGTTTTAATTTAGCATGCAGTTCACTACTTAAATATCTGTCCTGTCCTTCGGAGCTTCAATATCACAGAGTCAGTTATACACAGGAGTAAATGCCTCTAAATAGTCCAAGCTAACCTGAGAAGGGAGATGAGACCCATAATTTTTCATGTTTTCCAAAGTCAAAGACTACAAAATGTCTATAATTTGTCCAAAAACATGGTGAATAAAACAAGATTATTCAGCATTTCAAATCTAACAACTCATAATACTACTGTTTAAAAAAACCTAGCAACTTTCATTTTGTCATTTCTCTCAATAGAAAATATTTGCTAAAGAGTAAACAGGTGATTGTCATAATTATAATCACACATTAGAAGAATTATTTATGAGAGATTTGTGTATTTGGACAATTTTTTGTGATAATATATCTTTTTTATTAGCCTTCTTTAGTCATAGCACTCATTATAGTGTATATGTGAAATAATCACAGTACAAAGGCAAAAATATGACTAGCCTCAAATTTATAAACAATTCAAAATAAAAATATACAGATTCATTAAGAAAAACGCTACCTTGTGTTCTTTATCCGTAATATCATCACAATACACACTTATCTTCCAATTGATTTCAATTAAAATTTAAGTTTATGTGAAAATGAGACTGCACATCAATTAAAATCATTCATTCATTTATTCAAAAAACCAATCTCGAGTGCCTGCAGATCTCCAGGAGACATATCAGTGTCAAGTAAACACACGTGATTTGGCCTTTGCCCTCATGGGTTAAATTACATTCTCTTTATATAGCTTCCATAAATTAAAGTTTAATTCACCAGCATAAATACACTTAAGTAGAGTAAGAGAGAGGAAGGAATGGACTGTAAGTATGATGATCTTTATTATATGAAAAGGCAAAGCTCCTTTCATCTATTATACAAATAATACACTCTATGCCTTGAAAATTAGCAAAGATATTATGCCCAAATAAAGTGAAGGGTAAAGATTAACAGCTATCCAACCATAATGATTCGTATGGTTGGTCAAATTAGAACATTCAAAGGATTAAAAAACTGATTTCCTTTTCACCAACACATTATGCCCTTATGATCTTCCATAAAGACAAAGCAAAACCTATGAAGCCACTCAGTGGTTTTATTTTCTTATTTTTATGTCAGAGATTGACTTAAGAGAACCTAAGGAGTCCTATTTGCCAGGCCAGAAAAAAAAACAACAAAGTGCCATATATTTCCAAGTCATTTCAATTTTGCATAGAGTCTCACTAGCTTGTAACACTTAAGCTTAAAAAGAAAAGCCACAGAGAATAACAAAAACCAATCATATTGTCAAATCTGAAGCACTTAACATTTCTACGTACTAGCTCCCAAAATGTACACTGCCAAACTAAGAAAAATTATCTAGTGATGTGCTAGAGATGTAATACATCCTTAAAGTCATGTAACTAATGATCATGAGAGAGCAGCAGATACAAAACTGTCAACCCAATGTTTGCCAAATAATTTATTGACGCCCTATCTTAGGAATTGATTTTCTCTCACAAGAACCAAGGTTTTAATTTAAATAATACCCATGTAATCTTTGAAGTACACTTTCAATTAAATATTAACTACACATATCTTTTTTTTTTTTTTTTTTTTTTGAGATGGAGTCTCGCTCTGTCACCCAGGTTGGAGTGCAGTGGTGCGATCTCGGCTCACTGCGACGTCCGCCTCCCAGGTTCAAGCGATTCTCCTGCCTTGGCCTCCCAAGGTGCTGGGATGACAGGCATAAGCCATTGCGCCCAGCTTACACATCTCATTTTTTAAAATTTTAATTATACAGAACTCAAAATGAATACAATGTTTAAAAAGGTATACACTTACCATTGATCCACCGAGCCTCTGGATCGTGAAGCACAAAGTCTTTCCTAAAGAGGTCTTCCAAAGACAATCTGGTTTCTGACGAATTTGTGAGTTCATCTAAAATAAAGGAAATTCTAGGTTAGATGCCTATCTTATGCTTGTTTTTTAAAAGGAGCAAATTACAAAATTTGGAATATTTGCTCTAAAATATATTAACTACATAACAATATAAAGTGACCATTTTGACATGGTTTTTGGCATTTGAACTTTGTTTAATGACTTTTTAAATAAATGAAACTATTTTTACTATTAAAATTGTCTTGATCTGGTACAAATTTAATAGAGCAATCCCATGTTACGTATTAGTAATATAATATGAAAGCAGTTAAGAATTCCTGTTGTACATTGTGCCCAAAAAGGCAGATTTTCTACCATTTAACTATAATTCAGCCCCTTATTTTCCAAACTTATGTTGATATATTCTTTCATTGGAAATGTACAGTTTTGTTGTTAAAAACCAAAGATGGTAGACTTGAGGGACTTATGTATGACTAAACTCTCAAGTCAGAAAGAAGTTTACCAAGGAAATAGAGTAATTACCTACTTCCACCAAAAAAATTAGTACCCAACAAATACAAAGTAGATTTGACTTAAATGTAAAGTTCAAATAATAAAATACTAGAATATTAATGATAATACACACATTTCATACTAGTCTTTTATAGATAAGCTAGGTGTATTCCTCTTTCTACATTCCAAAATATAAGAAATGAAAAGATAACAGGACTTGAATACTAAAATCAGCATTACAAACACCCTTTTACATGCAAGAGGCTAAAGACAGGAATATTGCATTTTCTTTGCAAAATAATAACATTGTTTATTTGCTGTATAAATTCATCTTTGTGACCTTTCAGCTATGACCTTCACTTCGGTTGAAAATAAAATGTCAAGGATATATACTAACCTCATTAGATTTTATTCTGAAAAGGTTCAGCACTTGTTACAGCAAGAGCTTTGCTTTTTTCTAGCTGAAAAGGCTGGGGCAAAGAGTCAATAACGTCAAATGCAATTCCCTTTCACATAAATCAATCATGCATTTAACCCATAAAATAACTGCCAAGAAAAAATGGAAAAAAAATTATAGTAAAAATAGTGAGTATTGTTTGATTATAATTTTAGCATAAGACATTGTAATTGTATAGAGCTTTGCAAAACGAAATGCTGTTAGGTGATGATATATATTTGATCATTTGCCTGGCAGTCTGACACACCAGAATTTCTTAATTCATTCACAAATTTTCTAGTTTCATTAAAAAATTTCAAGGCAACAAGTGCAGTACTGTAAAGGATAGGAGACATATCTCTGTCCTGCCCTGAGGGGTTTGCACATGCTTAACAAAACATATAATAGATGTCAGGCCAGGCGCAGTGGGGCATGCCTGTAATCCCAGCACTTTGCGAGGCCAAGGCGGGTGGATCACTTGAGGACAGGAGCTCCAGGCCAGCCTAGCCAACATGGTGAAACTCCGTGTCAACCAAAATATATAAAACAAAAAATGAGCCTAGAGTGGTGGTGCATGTCTGAGGTCCCAGCTACTTGCGAGGCTGAGGTGGGAGAACTGCTTGAACACAGGAGGCGGAGGCTGCAGTGAGCTGAGATCGCACCACTGCACCACTATACTCCAGCCTGGGTGACAGGGTGAGACCTTGTCTCAAAAAACAAATTACACACACACACACATACATACATAATAGATGTCAGTATAAGGATAGAGAGTGCTTAATGAGTTTGAAGAAAGGAAATGTCTCACAGAAAAAATCAGAGAAGGCCTCACTTAAACATAAAATGACCAACTCTCACTAATTCCTGGGTAAGAATGCAAAATGGTACAGTCACTTTGGAAAATAATCTGGCATTTTCTTATAAAACTAAACAAATTATTATCATACAATCCAGTAATCAGGCTCCTTTGTATTTACCCAAAAGGAGGTGAAAACATATTAACACAGAAAAACCTACACACAAACATTTATAGCAGCTTTATTAATAATTGCCAAAATTTGGAAGCAACCAAGATGTCCTTCAATAGGTGAATGGCTAAATAGATACATTTTTTTAATGAGTTATTATTCTGTGCTAAAAAAAATGAGCTATCAAGCCATGAAAAGATATGGAGGAAACTTAAATGCATATTATGAAGTGAAAGAAGCCAGTAAGAAAAGGCTACATAGTATATAATCTCAACTACATGACATTTTGAAAAAGCAAAACTATAGAGACAGTAAAAATAGCAGTGGTTGCTAGGAATTGCGAGGGAAGGAATGAGCAGGTGAACATAGAGAATTTGTAGGGTGGTGAAGTTATTCCATATGATTCTACAATGGTGGATACATGTCTTTATTTACTTGTCCAAACCCATACAACACAATCCACTGGAAAGTGAATCCAAACAGACCTTGGGTGACAATGATGTGTCAATATAGGTTCATGAGTGATAGCAATTGTGCCACTCTGGTGCGGGATGTTGATAATTGGGGAAGCTATGCATGGTCTGTATCAGGCACAGGGGGGTCAGGGGGAAGAGAATATGGGAAATTCCTGTACCTTTCACTCAATTTTGCTGTGAATATAAAATTTCTCTGAAAAATAATCTATTATAAAAAAAAACTATTAAAAAAACCCTGGGTATTACATGTTTCAAAAGGCAGAGGAAGGGAATACTAGGGGCAGGAGAAGGAGGAAGAACATTTGCGATAAAAGGATAAGTGCTTTTTGTTTCACAAGCGAAAAAATATCTTAATTCCAGAATTCAGCTTCCATCATAAAAGTATGGGATTTTAATCAGATGAGCTAATTTTATTAGGGTTTCAGAAATATATTTATTCTATGAGGTATCTCAATAAAACAAAAGTTTGATATAGATAAGTTTCAAAATTTTTAAATTTCCCTATCACGTAAATTTACCATTATTTTGTCTAATCAGATCCCTTCAATTTTTAGAGAATTATATTTTATCATCTATATTTGATAAACATTGACTTATTTGATACAATAAATTTACATAGGTAAAGGTGGGAGGTAGGCATGTACTTATTTCAGTGAGAGAAATTATGCTAACAAACTTAAATGATCCTTATCTATTAAATTTAAAAAATTAACTGTATTATATATATAAATTTCTTTTATATGCATGCATCTGTTTGTCTTCCAAAAACATTTAGTTTGTTCCTAATGAGTTCCACATATTTCATTTACATTTTTTAGGAAGATGTTAACTTAAAAAAAAGGCTGTAAGTCCACCACACCAAATAATCTTATTTTCAAATAAATTTTAAAATAATAATTTGGTAATTTTCAAACATGGTATCTTTCATGTGAGCTTTAAAATCATATTACAACTCAAATAGAAATTTTATTAAAATAACACTATATATAATATACATACACACAACAGTGAAAACTGGAAAATTTTAAACATTTCACAATATTAAGGCTTTTCATTCAGAAATATTCCATCCTCATTTTATGTACATTAATACTATTTTATCTTTGATTTTTTATATAAGTCCTTTGCCCTTCCAATTGAATTTAGTGCAAAGTATATATAGTTTGGTATTGTGAACAGAATATTTCCCATTCCCATTCTAAATTATTTTTATACCTATAAGATTAATGATTACACCATATCACATTTTCTTAAACATTTCAATTATGAGTTTTTATTTTCTACATATTAAATTATAGCATCTGTAAACATATTACTTTTTTCTTTCTTTTCCAAATTTTAAGCAACTAATTATACTATGTATGCATTTGCTTCCCAGGTAATTGAAGATTCATATGAAGTTGCAAGAAATATTACAGAGAAAGTCTGTGTACTCTTCATTCAGTTTCTCTCAATGACAAGTAACATCCTGCATAATAATATCACGAAAAGAAACTGACATTGATATACTCCATCAACCTTACTCAGATTTCTGCAGTTTTACATGTATTCATTTATTCACGTGCATTCTTGCGTGTTTAGTTCTACGCAACTGCATCACAGGTGACCAGCACCACAGTCAAGAACAGTTCCATCACTAGGATCTCTTCTGCCACTCTTTCATTAACAGTCCCCCACCCAATCCCTTGGCAACCAACCACTACTCTGTTCTCCATTTTTAAAATTTTGTAATTTTAAGAATGCTATATAATCACAATCATACCATACCTAAGCTTTTGGACTGGCTTTTATCACTCAGAATAATTCCCTTGAGATCCATTCAAGTTGTTGAATGTATAAATAATCTATCACTTTTGATGGCTGAGTAATATTCCAGGGTATTGAGAGACCATTCTTTAACTCTTCACTCATTGAAGAACATTTGAGTTATTGTTATTTCTGGTTTGGGGATATTAAAAATAAAGTTACTATAAACATTTTTTTATAGATTTTTGTACAAACATACATTTTCTTTTCTCCAAGATAAATGCCCAAATATGCAGTTGCTGGGTCAAATGTAAACACATTACAGTTTTATTTAAAAATTCCATATGCTTTTTTACAGTAGTTTTACCATTTTACATTCTCACCAGCAATGTATAAATGATCCAGTTTCTCTGCATCTTCGGCAGCATTTGATGTCATTAAAAAAAAATGGCTATTCTTATATACGTGTAGTGATATCCCCTTGTGGTTTAATTTGCATTTCTCTAGTAGCTAATGAGGTTGAACATCATTTAATGTGCTTATTTATGATTCCCATATAGTCTTCAGTGAAATATCTGTTCATGTCATTCGCCCACTTTCTAACTGAATTATTTCGTTGGTGTGTTTGTTTAATGCTGCATTTGATGAGTTCTTCGTCTATTCTAAATACAAATGCTTTGTCAGATACGTGAATTTCAAATATTTCCCTCCAGTCTGTAAGTTGTCTTTTCACCCTCTTTAGAAAATGTTTTGTGGAGAAAAAGGTATCAATATTTATGAGATCCAGGTAATCAATTTTTCCTTTTATGAATCGTGCTTTTGCTGTCAAGTCTAACAATGTTTCACCTATTTCTTGGTCTTGAAACTTTCTCCTATGGCTTTTTCCTAAAAAATGTTATAGTTTTATTTCACATATTCCTCCCTGCTCTATTTTGAGTTACTTTTTGTATATCTTCACACATGGCATGAGGCTTAATATGAAGTTTTGTTTGTCTGCTGGTTTATTTTGTTTTGTGTCTATGGATGACTAATTGTTCCAACTTCATTTTTGAAAAGCATTTGTTTAATTCTATTGAATTATTTCATTAGCTTGAATGTGAAAAATGATACTGAGCTGGGCAAGGTGGCTCATGTCTATAATCCCAGCTGCTTGGGAGGCTGAGGCAGGAGGATCATTTGAGTTGAGGAGTTAGTTCAAGGTTAGAGTGAGCTATGACTGTGCCACTGCGCCACTTCACTCCAGCCTGGGCAAGAGAGTGAGGCCTAATCCCTAAAACTAAAAAAAATTAATTTATTTTAAAAAAATGTTGAATGATCATAGTGTCAGTGACATTGCTTTTTTTCCATTATGAAATAATCATTATTTCTTTCCAGACTCTTTTATATAAACATATTTTTCTCCTTTAACACATTGATATAAAAATTACATAAATACAATCTCCTGTTTACAACCACCCGATATGTCTGTAACAAAATCCAACCAAGCACGTTGAATTCTTATTTTTATACTATTAGATTAATATGTTAAACTTTTATTTAAATGTTTACATCTAGGTTAACAGACAAAGTTACACAGTCCTTTGTTTTCCATTCTGTATTATATTGATCACTTGGCACATTAATACATTTATTCAATATTTTTGAAGTTGTGTTTATTTTCTGTGCTCTGGAATAGTTTAATAATTTTAATAATATTTTTTAACTCCAATTGCCCCTGGAACTTATTCTAAAACCAACCCTTCAAAGCAATTCAAATAACTATAAATAAATCTTCTGTTTAAACAATAATGAGAAGGAGATATTATGTAATTTAATAATTAATGTATTTGGCTTTATTCAATACTGAGAAAACTATATACTTCATTCATTTCTTTGTTTTTTTCTTCTTCTGTGTTGCTTTCTTTGTTCCTTTCCTTAAATTTTCCTTAGCTGCCTACCCTGAGGTCTCTTGAATTTTTCATTCCTAGAATAAAGACTCCTTCCTTATACACATAATGAATAATTAAGCTTCTCTTTTAATAGCCTCCAAGGCTAACTTCTATCCTCTATCTTTTTTTTTTTTTTTTTTTTTTTTTTATGAGCAGCCTCCCCCTGTCTCATTGTAATCCTTCGGGATGTTCATTCCTTGCAACCAATCCTCTCTTTTCTGAATGTCCCCCAAACCCTACTGGGTATTAGTATCCTCATTTCACAGAGAAACAGGCTCGGCAATGTTGACAAAGACCACGTAACTAGTAATTGGCAGAGCTGAAACTTGAACCTGCATCTCTCTGACTTTAGGTTTTCTTCATTAAGCTATACTATCTCCCAAAAATAAGTTTTCTTTCCTTTTCTCTTTAATAATGTATTAATAGCATCTTTTCACAAGACAATATACAATCTTACAAAAATATTTTAGGAATATTCTTATTGCCTTTTAGCCACTAGAACCCTTCTTCCAACTGAAATCCAACTCCTTAGTGTAAGCCCCTCTGGAGCTTATTAGCATCCCATTCTGCCTCAACTTGCCCAGGAAGATAATAGCATATCCTCTTTTCTCAAAGAGAGAAATGTCACAGCATTCACTAAAATGTAGGAATTTTTTTTTTTTTTTTGCTTTCTTCAAGACACTTGTCTACAATATGTCTTAAATTCCAAGCTTACCCTCTGCTCATTGTTACAGGCAATTTATAGTTACAACGGAACTCAGTCATCAACAAACATTTATTACTCACATTGCAACGTAATTTAGCAGGAACTTAATTTATGTTAGAATCAGACCCAGGGAGAATCACCTAGAGAAATCTTACTATTTGATACATTTAAATAATTTTCTCTTTATTTTTACCTAGCAAACAGAGAAACCTGGATATCAATCATTCATCTCAATCACTCACACTGAACAACGAGAAGGTGGCTCAGAAAAAAATATTAGATTGTAAATCATTTTGAGACACTCTTTCAAAATATTATTAATTTTTATTAATCTTTAGAGAAAGAAATTCTAAAATCAATACTTAGTCCCTAATGTAAAGAAAATATTGCTAAAATTTAATATTCACCTCTCATAGGTTGTTCTCCTTACTAGCAAGTTACTTGAGAATATATCTCTAGTGATTCTGTAACAAAATATAAGGCACAATTATATATATATATATAGAGAGAGAGAGAGAGACAGAGAGAGAGAGAGAGAGAGAGAGTACACATGTATGAAAGTCTGAAAACCTACTATATTTTAATAGTTGCTATTAAAAGTGTAAATATTTGTTAACCCTATCAGATACTATAATTATGAATAGGGACACAAAAATCCAAATAAATATATGGTTTAACAATTCACAAGTATTTAGAGACCTGGAAACAGAATCCTTATTGGTTAAATAGTTACAAGGTATTGTAGAATCTTAAGTAAAAAGTTCAGCTTTGACAATATGAATGTGGCAACAGAACTGAAATTGAATAATTCACGCCATGTTCTTTTCTGTGCTCTATTTGGTCCTTTAAGATCATAGACTGCTATGGGTATTTCTGTTCTTTCTTCCAAAAATCCAATCTTGCTTTTAAATGGCCTTTGAAATGAGTTGGCTGCATAATCTTAGATGAAAAAAAAAGAAAGTTCTTCAGCATTCAACTGAAGAAAAGCTAATTTATGACTTTAAGTTCTTGGTTCCTCTTTGCTGAAAATAATTGTGTTAGTTTTATCTAGTTTATTCTTGATATCAGAGGTTTAGAAATATTTCCTTAATTTAAATCCTATTCAAAATAATTTCCTATTAAAACAGAAATAGAAAGAAAAATCTAATCAAGTAGTTATTTAAAATTTCCCACAAGAAGAACAAGCTATTTTCCTTTCTACTCACGTGATTCTCCCTTAGCTGGGTTTTCCCAGTACCACCATCTCCATTCCCAGGGCTGTAGTTTAAATATTTACTCTTAATCGTATTCTTCATTTTCCATGGTTAGTGTCATATGGGATAGTCTTCTAATGCATTTCCATTTTAAATATTATTGACTAGCTGATTGAAATAACATCACTTCTACCCCTCCTTGCACAGCTAGATGAAACTACAGAATGCAAATCACAATAGTCAAGATTAAATTCTAGATTTTTCAAAATATCTGCCATTGCTTTGTGCATTCTCTAACTTGTCAGCAGATCCTAAGATTTTGTTTTAGTACTTAACATATGAAATATAAATTCTATTCTTATTTTCTTTTTAAAATATCTGTTCTTTTCTTTCCCTAGGATGCTGAAACTTTAGGCAGCAGATGAAATATGGTCTAAATTTATGTCATTTGAGATCAGGATAAGATCACAAGCTTGTTTCTTAATGTTTCCTAACTTATCACCTAGAAAATGAAAAACAGTTTCTTCTTTCCTCCTTAAGAAATTTACAGTTTTTAATGTACATTAAAAAAATAAATTTAAATAGTTAATTTGTATAGTAGTTAATATGGTTTGGCTATGTCCCTACCCAAATCTCATTTTCAATTGTAACTCCCACAATTCCCACATGTCATGAGAAGAACCCAGTGGGAGGTGACTGAAATATGGGGTCAGGTCTTTCCTTCACTGTTCTCATGGTACTGAATGAGTCTCATGAGATCTCACGGTTTTAAAAATGGCAGTTTCCCTGCACAAGGTTTCTTTTTGCCTCCTGCCATCCCCGTAAGATGTGACTTTCTCCTCCTTTTCTTCCACCATGATTGTGAAGCCTCCCCAGCCATACAGAACTGTAAGTCCAATAAAACCTCGTCTTTTGTAAATATCCCAGTCTCGGGTATATCTTTATCAGCAGCGTGAAAATGAACTAATACAGTAGTAGAACCAAAAAAAAAAAAAGATATATCCTGGTATATTTTGCATAGATTTTTTGGGTTATGTTTTGTTTTGTGTTTTACATAAAAGAAGACTTATATAGAAATCACCAAGCAAATTACGGAGCTCATTTACTTTTAGCTATTGTCTTTATTATTATTAAAATGTAAAATATACAGGGCCCTATAAAGCACCTTCACATTATTCACTTTCAGACAAACAAAAAATATTTTTCATTCTCTTGAAATATCTCTTTCATAGTTGTTCTCTTCAACCGAAATGTTTCTACGTGTATTCTCAGATTTACTTTTAGAAACACAATATGAAGTTGCTTCTTTATAGTTATTGGAAAAATATAGTAAAATGTAAAATTCACAGAAAAGTCTCTTTTCAGAAGTGTATTTAACTATGTTGACTTTATAAGTTCCAAAATATAAATTGGAAAAATAATAATCTATAGTTCAAGCTCTTTAATGAAGAAAACCTAATAGCTTGTCACTTAGTATTGTGAAGCCTAATTCATCCATTCAAGCAAAAGCCAAAAAGGAAAAGTCAAATACACTACATCTGTTTTACAGTTCCAGGGAATCACCTTTGCTCTTCTTGGCATACTAGGGATTTC
This sequence comes from Homo sapiens, assembly GCF_000001405.40. Taxonomy (NCBI): domain Eukaryota; kingdom Metazoa; phylum Chordata; class Mammalia; order Primates; family Hominidae; genus Homo; species Homo sapiens. The sequence continues at coordinate 115,334,317 of NC_000002.12, read as the reverse complement.
CTTCTATATATCTTTCTTTTGCCTTTTCTTACTCTTTCTAATCTCTTGTTGCAGAAATAGCTAGGTTTCTTAAAAAAAAAAAAAAAACAGAGTCTGCTCTGGTCCATTCCTGATAAATTCTACTAATTAGAATTACTTTTGGAGTTGCTCTTCCTGAGGAGTATCTGTGTGGCATTCTCTGTATTTCCTGAATTTGAATGTTAGCCTGCCTTGCTAGGTTGGGGAAGTTCTCCCGGATAATATCCTGCAGAGTGTTTTCCAACTTGGTTCCATTCGCCCCGTCACTTTCAAGTACACCAATCAGAGGTAGATTTGATCTTTTCACATAGTCCCATATTTCTTGGAGGCTTTCTTTGTTTCTTTTTACTCTTTTTTTCCCTAAACTTCTCTTCTCACCTTGAGAAGAGCAACTCTAAGACACATAATTGTCAGATACACCAAAGTTGAAGTGAAGGAAAAAATGTTAAGGGCAGCCAGAGAGAAAGGTCGGGTTATCCACAAAGGGAAGCCCATCAGACTAACAGCGGATCTCTCGGCAGAAACCCTATAAGCCAGAAGAGAGTGGGGGCCAATATTCAACATTCCTAAAGAAAAGAATTTTCAACCCAGAATTTTATATCCAGCCAAACCAAGCTTCATAAGTGAAGGAGAAATAAAATCCTTTACAGACAAGCAAATGCTGAGAGATTTTGTCACCACCAGGCCTGCCCTAAAAGAGCTCCTGAAGGAAGCACTAAACATGGAAAGGAACAACCAGTACCAGCCACTGCAAAAACATGCCAAATTGTAAAGACCATTGATGCTAGGAAGACACTGCATCAACTAACGAGCAAAATAACCAGCTAACATCATACTGACAGGATCAAATTCACACATAACAATATTAACCTTAAATGTAAATGGGCCAAATGCTCCAATTAAAAGACACAGACTGGCAAATTGGATAAAGAGACAAGACACATCAGTGTACTGTATTCAGGAGACGCATCTCACATGCAGAGACACACATAGGCTCAAAATGAAGGGATGGAGGAAGATCTACCAAGCAAATGGAAAACAAAAACAGGCAGGGGTTGTAATCCTAGTGTCTGATAAAACAGACTTTAAACCAACAAAGATCAAAAGAGACAAAGAAGGCCATTACGTAATGGTAAAGGGATCAATTCAACAAGAAAAGCTAACAATCCTAAATATATATGCACCCAATACACGAGCACCCAGATTCATAAAGCAAGTCCTTAGAGATCTACAAAGAGACTTAGACTCCCACACAATATTAATGGGAAACTTTAACACCCCACTGTCAACATTAGGCAGATCAACGAGACAGAAAGTTAAAAAGGACATCCAGGAATTGAACGCAGCACTGCACCAAGTGGACCTAATAGACATCTACAGAACTCTCCACCCAAATCAACAGAATATACATTTTTTCAGCACCACACCACACCGATTCCAAAATTGACCACATACTTGGAAGGAATGCTCTCCTCAGCAAATGTAAAAGAACAGAAATTATAAAAAACTGTCTCTCAGACCACAGCGCAATCAAACTGGAACTCAGGATTAAGAAACTCACTCAAAACTGCTCAACTACATGGAAACTGAACAACCTGCTCCTGAATGACTACTGGGTACATAACAAAATGAAGGCAGAAATAAAGATGTTCTTTGAAACCAATGAGAACAAACACACAACATACCAGAATCTCTGGGACACATTTAAAGCAGTGTGTAGCGGGAAATTCATAGCACTAAATGCCCACAAGAGAAAGAAGGAAAGATCTAAAATAGACACCCTAACAACACAATTAAAAGAACTAGAGAAGCAAAAGCAAACACATTCAAAAGCTAGCAGACGGCAAGAAATAACTAAGATCAGAGCAGAACTGAAGGAGACAGAGATATAAAAAACCCTTCAAAAAGTCAATGAATCCAGGAGCTGGTTTTTCGAAAAGATCAACAAAATTGATAGACCACTAGCAAAACTAATAAAGAAGTAAAGAGAGAAGAATAAAATACGCACAATAAAAAATGATAAAGGGGATATTACCACTGATCCCACAGAAATACAAACTACCATCAGAGAATACTATAAACACCTCTATGCAAATAAACTAGAAAATCTAGAAGAAATGGATAAATTCCTGGACACACACACCCTCCCAAGACTAAACCAGGAAGAAGTTGAATCTCTGAATAGACCAATAAGAGGCTCTGAAATTGAGGCAATAATCAATAGCTTACCAACCAAAAAAAGTCCAGGACCAGATGGATTCACAGCTGAATTCTACCAGACGTACAAGGAGAAGCTGGTACCATTCCCTCTGAAACTATTCCAATCAACAGAAAAAGAGAGAATCCTCCCTAACTCACTTTATGAGGCCAGCATCATCCTGATACCAAAGCCTGGCAGAGACACAACAAAAAAAAGAGAATTTTAGACCAATATCCCTGATGAACATTGATGCAAAAATCCTCAATAAAATACTGGCAAACCGAATCCAGCAGCACATCAAAAAGCTTATCCACCATGATCAAGTGGGCTTCATCCCTAGGATGCAAGACTGGTTCAACATATGCAAATCAACAAACATAATCCATCATATAAATAGAACCAAAGACAAAAACCATATGATTATCTCAATAGATGCAGAAAAGGCCTTTGACAAAATTCAACAGCACTTCAGGCTAAAAACTCTCAATAAATTCGGTATTGATGGGACATATCTCAAAATAATAAGAGCTATCTATGACAAACCCACAGCCAATATCATACTGAATGGGCAAAAACTGGGAGCATTCCCTTTGAAAACTGGCACAAGACGGGGATGCCCCCTTTCACCACTCCTATTCAACATAGTGCTGGAAGTTCTGGCCAGGGCAATCAGGCAGGAGGAAGAAATAAAGGGTATTCAGTTAGGAAAAGAGGAAGTCAAATTGTCCTTGTTTGCAGATGACATCATTGTATATTTAGAAAACCCCATCGTCTCAGCCCAAAATCTCCTTAAGCTGATAAGCAACTTCAGCAAAATCTCAGGATATAAAATCAGTGTGCAAAAATCACAAGCATTCTTATACACAAATAACAGACAGAGAGCCAAATCATGAGTGAACTCCCATTCACAATTGCTTCAAAGAGAATAAAATACCTAGGAATCCAACTTACAAGGGATGTGAAGGACCTCTTCAAGGAGAACTACAAACCACTGCTCAACGAAATAAAAGAGGACACAAAAAAATGGAAGAACGTTCCATGCCCATGGATAGGAAGAATCAATATCGTGAAAATGGCCATACTGCCCAAGGTAATTTATAGATTCAATGCCATCCCCATCAAGTTACCAATGACTTTCTTCACAGAATTGGAAAAAACTACCTTAAAGTTCATATGGAACCAAAAAAGAGCCCACATTGCCAAGACAATCCTAAGCCAAAAGAACAAAGCTGGAGGCATCATGCTACCAGACTTCAAACTATACTACAAGGCTACAGTAACCAAAACAGCATGGTACTCGTACCAAAACAGAGATATAGACCAATGGAACAGAACAGAAATAGTACCACACATCTACAACTATCTGATCTTTGACAAACCTGAGAAAAACAAGCAATGGGGAAAGGATTCCCTATTTAATAAATGGTGCTGGGAAAACTGGCTAGCCATATGTAGAAAGCTGAAACTGGATCCCTTCCTTACACCTTATACAAAAATTAATTCAAGATGGATTAAAGACTTAAATGTTAGAGTTAAAACCATAAAAACCCTAGAAGAAAACCTAGGCAATACCATTCAGTACATAGGCATGGGCAAGGACTTCATGTCTAAAACACCAAAAGCAATGGCAACAAAAGCCACAATTGACAAATGGGATCTAATTAAACTAAAGAGCTTCTGCACAGCAAAAGAAACTACCATCAGAGTGAACAGGCAACCTACAGAATGGGAGAAAATTTTTGCAATCTACTCATCTGACAAAGGGCTAATATCCAGAATCTACAATGAACTCAAACAAATTTACAAGAAAAAAACAAACCCAACAAAAAGTGGGCAAAAGATATGAACAGACACTTCTCAAAAGAAGACATTTATGCAGCCAAAAGACACATGAAAAAATGCTCATCATCACTGGCCATCAGAGAAATGCAAATCAAAACCACAATGAGATACCATCTCACACCAGTTAGAATGGCGATCATTAAAAAGTCAGGAAACAACAGGTGCTGGAGAGGATGTGGAGAAATAGGAACACTTTTACACTGTTGGTGGGACTGCAAACTAGTTCAACCATTATGGCAGACAGTGTGGCGATTCCTCAAGGATCTAGAACTAGAAATACCATTTGACCCAGTGATCCCATTACTGGGTACATACCCAAAGGATTATAAATCATGCTGCTATAAAGACACAATGCACACATATGTTTACTGCAGCACTATTCACAATAGCAAAGACTTGGAACCAACCCAAATGTCCATCAATGATAGACTGGATTAAGAAAATGTGGTACATATACACCATGGAATACTATGCAGCCATAAAAAAGGATGAGTTCATATCCTTTGTAGGGACATGGAAGAAGCTGGAAACCATCATTCTCAGCAAACTGTCGCAAAGACAAAAAACCAAACACCTCATGTTCTCACTCATAGGTGGGAATTGAACAATGAAAACGCTTGGACACAGGAAGGGGAACATCACACACCAGGGCCTGTCATTGGGTAGGGGGAGCGGGGAGGGATAGCATTAGGAGATATACCTAATGTAAATGATGAGTTAATGGGTGCAGCACACCAACATGGCACATGTATACATATGTAACAAACCCGCACGTTTTGCACATGTACCCTAGAACTTAAATAAAATAAAAAATAAAGAAAGCAAGAACTACTTTTGACTCAGATTATCCCTGTATCTTACAAAGCCTAATAATACATACTCCTTAATTTAATTTGTTTCCTGGGTCAGACAATCATCCAATGAATGTTCTTTCCTATCTGAGTATATTTCCAAAATGGGACTTTCATACAGAAAGCCATATTTTAATTATAAATACATTTTTAAAACTCAACATAGGGTAAGTAACTAAATTAAGACCAAACTGTGCCTGTATTAAATAGAATGAGGAGGACAGCTGACAAATGAAATATAATTTATTATCTGCTTCTTTCTGTTTTCTCACAAAACTCTGCTCTTTTTTCAACAAATATAGAAATAATATTTAGGATATTCATACTGAGTACATAAAACAAAAGCATAATCTGCAAGAAGTTTACCACCTACAATGCCTTCACCTTCCCTGCAGTGCCCAGCATACTGTAATAAATCTAACCTCTGCTTCTCTGTTCTCAAAAGGGGATGGGCAATGATGCTTCACAAACAGTGATCAGAGTTAGAAGGTCATATTTTAGTCCTAATTCAACCCTTCACTAGCAGGTATCTCTTTGGTTAGATCACTCCATTTATTTATGCATCATTTTTTGCATTTGCAAAGACCAAGAGTTGGACTAAATCACACTATATCCAGCAGTGTTCTAAGGACTCTAGTGAACTCTTTCAGGATAGAGAAGAGATGAGGGAAGGACAGAGGTTATGTGATTAGACCTCTTCAACCAGAAAAATGCTGCTTTGGCATGTTTGATTCTTTGTATAGAATTTTATTTGAAGCTCTACACATACATGCTTGCACACACACAAAACCCATACAAACACACATGATGAGCTGCAAACTAGCTTGCATCTCTTAGGATTCTCAAATTTCTGGTATATCTTATACTAGGCTCTTTCATTTTTGGCAGTGACTCAAAGTGCTCATCAAATAAGAAATGTACCTTTAGGTTCTGAAGGACTATTATTAAATTTTACCTCAAACTTATCATCCATTGATTACATAAGTCAAGAGCTTTAGGATTTACTCATAGTTCTAATTAGCCAAATTAGTCAATCATTCAAAATGCTAATGATTCTCAAACCTCTTTCTGAGACCTTTTTCAAATTAACATCTCCTGAATATGAGTAAAGAATCTAAATATGAGAAATGTATGTAAGCTTTCCACATTTGGAGAAGAGCATTTACACACTGTGATACATACACATGTGTACACACATACACCCTGAAATGATGTCCTCCTTTTACCCTAAAGTGTTATGGCTCTATAAAGTCATATTTAAGTTCCTCCTTCACATATGTTGCTTGATTCTATCACATTACCATGACCAAATTTTTATTGCATGTCTTTATTAGCCTACACCAGAGGTTTCTGGTGTATGGTTGTGGACTTCAGGAAGACAGGGGTCACAGAAATCAAAACTGTATTCATAATAACACGAAGACATTATTGTCCTTGTCAATGGGTTGAAATTTTCACTTGTGATACAAAAGCAATGGTTGATAAAACTCCAGGCACCCTTTCATAAGTCGACACTGTGACATCAAACAATTGTCATTATATTCTTTATGGCCATATAGCCTCAATTTAAAAATAAACCCAGTTTCAGTTCAGAAGTAGTAAAAAATATTAATTGTACTACATCTTGACTCTCAACATCTTTTGAATATCTGTGTGGTGCAGTATGTCAAAAAATAAAATAACACCAGTGCATACGAAATATGATGGTTATCTCATGGAAAAGCATATGGTCAGTTGCTTGAGTTATGAGCTAAACTCACCACATTGTTTCTCATAGAACATTATTTTTACTGGAAGGAATGAGTAACAAACTACAATTATTCAGATTTAAGTGTCTGACAGGTGTTTTTCTTCAAAATGAAGTAAACTTTTTCTTCACAAAATCCACAATTGGCTGTATTTGTTACAAACAAAAAAATTCGAGCCCCTTCAAGCAAGAAAATGAATTTTAGAAAACTGATATTCTCCATCTTAAGTTTGATCATTTCTCAATAATTCTCTAGTGAGCTTTTCCTAGTGAAATCATTAGTGAAATTCATCATGATTTTTAACAACTGTACAATCACATGTCACTAAATGACAGGGATATGTTCTGAGGAATGTGCTATTAGGCAACTTCATGGTTGTGCAGACATCGTAGAATGTACTTACACAAACCCAGATGCTAAAGTCTACTGCATATCTATGCTATAAGATACAGCCTATTACTGCTAGGCTGCAAACCTGTACTGCCTGTTAGTGCACTGAAAATCACAGGCAATTGAAACATAATGGTAACTATTTGTGTATCTAAACATAGAAAATATATAGTTAAAAAACATTATAAATGATAAAAAGAATGGTACACCTGGATAGGGCACTTCAAGAATGGAGCTTGTAGGATTGGAAGTTACTCTGAGTGAGTCAGTAAGTGAGTGGTGAGTGAATATGAATGCCTAAGATATTACTGCACACTACTGTAGACTTTATAAGCACTGCACAGTCTACATTAAATGCATTAAAAAATTTTCTTTCTTTAGTAGTAGATTAACCTTAGCTTCCTGTAACTGCTTTACTTTATCAATGTTTTTCATCATTGACACTTTTCTAATAACACTTAGCTTAAAAACACATTTGACAACTGAACACAAATATTTTCCTTCTTTATGTCCTTATTGCATAACCTTTGTCTATTTTAATATTTTTATTTTTAAAAAACAAAGACATAAACACACACATATTAGCCTAGGCCTACACAGGGTCAGTATCATCAATATCACTGTCTTCCACCTTCATATCCTATTCCACTAGAAGGTCTTCAGGGTAAATAAGGTGCATGGGGCTAAAATCTCCTATGATAACCATGCCTTCTTCTGGAATACCTCCTGAAGAACATTCGTGAGGCTATTATACAGTTAACTTATGTTTTAATAGGTAGAAGGAATGCACTGTAAAATAATAAAAGTGTAGTATATTAAATACATAATCCAGTAATGTAGTAGTCTATTATCATTATTATTATGTACCATATGTAATTCTATGTGATATAATTTTACAGGACAGGCAACACAGTAGGTTTACTTATGCCAGCATCACCAAAAACACCAGAGTAATGAATCATGCTACTATGACCTTACTACGGTTGTGTCACTAGGGGATAAGAACTTTACAGCTGAATTACAATCAAATGGGACCACCAATATATATGAAGTCTGTCATTGACCTAAAAGCCATTATAATGTGCATGGCTGTATAATAAACTCCACTGACATTTGGAAGACCTGCATAACTCAATGAACTAATATTTTACAAATGACCAATTCATATTACAGAAGTAGACGTGGGTAAGAGTCTTTCAACATGTAAGATGGACCAATGGACTTTAATGTAGCAGAGTATTAAAATATTATTCAGATTTTACACTGCAATTAACCTTCAAGCATCTAGCACTTATCTAGTTTTCAGGAAGTAACAGCAAAAAACCTCTACAATGATCTGAAATAGCTATTAACATACATATTCTATTTCTGACTATGTGTCTTTATCAGGTCAGAATTTCTGCATATATCTCAACCAAAACAATGTATTGCAAAAGAATTAACAGAGGAGCACATATGAGAATTCTGCCATCTTCCTCTGAGTTAGACATTAAATACATTTGTAAAAATGTGAAACAATACCATTTATTTTGCTTTTTTTGTTTTGAAAAACATAACTTTTCATTTTGTTATTTATATTTATATGTAATTGTTTTATTATTGTCATCTTAAATAAATTAATACACATTTTATTTGAAATCTCAGAATTTATTTGCAATGTCTAATTTTACAAATGGTGATATATGCAATTCAAATGCCCCAAAGCATTTTTGGGTCCTCAATACTTTGTTAGAGTACACTACACTAAGTTCTACTGAACGTACTTTATTGTGTATTTTACAAGTTTATGTTTTTCCACATTTCAAACTGCCAGGGTTATAATAAATATTATTCAAGTCTCAAAAGATGTTGACTTTCTTTTCTATTTGGTAATATCATCAGCTTTAATAACCTTATTCTATTGTATTATTATTTATTACTTCATTATCAAGAACTTTCACTAAACAATTCTCTGACATTTTTATTGCAAGAGTGGATAACCAGATAAATTTGTCACTGGTCAATACAAGCATACTCATTTTATTGTGCTTTGCTCAATTACACTTTGCAGACATTGTTTTTTACAACTTGAAGGGTTGTGGTAGCCTGTTGTCAAGCAAGCCTATTGACACCATTTTTCTGATAGCATGCAGTCACTTCATGTCTCTGTGTCAAACTTCGGTAATTCTCACAATTTTTCATACTTTATTATTATTATATCTGTTACGGTGATCTGTGATCAGGGATCTTTGATGCCACTATTGTAGTTGTCTTGGGGAGCCATGAACCATGACCACATAAGAGCATAATGTTGTGCGTGTTCTAACCGTGACATCAACCAATTGATCCCCTGTCTCTCTCTCTCTCTTCAGGCCCCCTTATTCCCTAAGACATAACAATATTGAAATTAGGGCAACAGTAGCCTCTAAGTATTCCAGCGAAAGGAAGAGTCAAATGTCTGTCACTTTAAATCCAAAACTAAAAACAATTAAGCTTAGTGAAGAAGGCACATCAAAAGCTTAGGTAGGCTGAAAGCTAAGCCTCTTGCTCCCAACAGTTAGCCACAAAAAGTTCTTATGGGAAATTAAAAGTGCTAATCTATTGAACATACAAATGATAGAAAAACAAAACAGGCTTATTGTTGATATAAAGAAAGTTTTTGTGTTCTGGATAGAAGATCAAACTAGCCACACCTTTCCCTTAAGCCAAAGCCTAATCTAGAGTAAGGTCCTAACTCTCTTCAATTCTGTGAAGGCTGAGAGAGATGAGAAGGCTACAGAAGAAAACTTTGAAACTAAGAGAGATTGGTTCATGAGGTTTAAGGAAAGACCCTATTTCCATAATATCAAAGTGCAAGGTGAAGCAGCAAGTGCTCATGTAGAAACTACAGCCAGTTATCAAGAAGATGTAGCTAGGATCGTTGATGAAGGTGGCTATGCTAAACGAGAGATTTTCAATGTAGACAAAACAGCTTTTTATTGTAAGAAGATACTATCTAGAACTTTCCTTTTTTTGAGACGGAGTGTCGCTCTGTCACCCAGGCTGGAGTGTAATGGTGCGATCTCAGCTCACTGCAACCTCCACCTCCTGGGTTCAAGTGATTCTCCTGCCTCAGCCTCCCGAGTAGCTGGGACTATAGGCACGTGACACCCTGCCTGCCTAATTTTTGTATTTTTAGTAGAGATGGATTCTCATCGTGTTAGCCAGCATGGTCTTGATCTATCTAGGACTTTCATAGCTAGAGAGGAAAAGTCAATGCCTGGTTTCAAAGCTTCAAAGGAGAGGCTGACTCTCCTATTAGGGGCTAATGCAGCTGGTGACATTCTGTGGAAGCCAAGGCTCATTTACTATCCTCAGAACCCTAGGGCCCTTAAGAATCATGCTAAAGCTACTCAGCTTGTGCTTTATAAATGAAACAACAAAGCCTGGCTGACAACACTTGGATACAGCATGGTTTACTAAATATTTTAAATCCACTACTGAGACTTACTACTCATAAAAATATTCCTTTTAAAATATCACTGCTCATTGACAATACACCTGGTTACCCAAGAGCCCTGATGAAGATGTACATCAATATTAATGGTTGTTTTCATGCCTGCTAACACAACATCCATTCTGCAGCCTACGGATCAAGGAGTAATTTTGATTTTCCAATGTTGGTAATTAAGAATTACATTTGATAAGGCTGCCATAGATACTGATTCTTCTGAAGGGTCTGGGCAAAGTGAATTAAAAATCTTCTGGAAATAATTCACATTTCTAGATGCCATTAAGAACATTTGTGATTTATGTGAAAAGGTCAAAATATCAACATTAACAGGAGTTTGGAAGAAGCTGATTCCAATCAGTACTGATAACTTTGAGAGGTTCAAGACTTCAGTGCAGGAAATAACTGCAGATGTGGTAGGGGCAGCAAGAGAATTTGAATTAAAAGTGGAACATGAAGATGAAACTGAACTGCTGCAATCTCAAAATAAATCTTGAATGAACGAGGAGTTTTTTCTTATGGATGAAGTGAAAGGAGCAGTTTCTTGACATGGAATCTACTCCTAGCTAACATGCTGTAAACACTGTTGACGTGACAACAAAGGATTTCGAATATTACATAAACTTAGTTGATAAAGAAGTAGGATTTGAGAGAAGAAACTCCCATTTTGAAAGAAGGTCTATTGTGGAGAAAATGCTCTCAAACAGCAGTGCATGCTATGGATAAAATTTTGTGAAAGGAATTGCCAGTTAATGTGGCAAACTTTATTTCTCTCTTATTTTAAGAAACTGTCACAGCCACACCCACCTTCAGCAACCACTAGCTTGTTCAGTTAGCAGTCATCAACATCAAGGAAAGACCCTCTACTGACAAAAAGATTATGATTTGCAGAAGGCTCAGATCATCAAATAGAATTTTTTTAACAATAAAGCAGTTTTTATTTAAGGTCTGTTCATTTTTATAATACATAATGCGATTGCACACTTAATAAACTACAAATACGATAAACATAACTTTTACATGCAGTGGGAAACCAAAAAAAAATTGTATGATTTGCTTTATTGGAATAGTTGTTTAACTGCAGTGTTCTGAAACTAAACCTGCAATATTACAATGCATGCCTGCATTTATTGAGAACTTAGTTTGTAATAGAAACTATTATGAATCATATAATAAAGTAGAAAGCAGTGTAGGTGGTAAAGATATAAACCTTATGCTGGGCTTCAACTATAATAAGGAATCCAGGTTTATCACAATAAGAGAGGCAGGAAGTAAAGATTAAGGTAGAGTTGTAAATGGGCTGGCTAAGTGTTTAAGTGTGAAACACAGAGCTAACCTGAAAAGGTATTTTACCCTCTCTGTTTTTTATTTCTCCTAGCCTCCACACCCCACCATAGCCACATTTGCCTCCTAATATTCAAGAAAACATTTCTAAACCAAAATATTAAGGAAAACAGAATAATCAAACAGAAAACCCTAGCTAACCACAACCTAAAGAACAGAGACTTCAGAGAACATACATGGTGAATAATAGTGATTTTTCAAAAATAGTTTAAAATATTCTACCAAAGAAAACACAAATAGCTACAGCCTACAGCAAGAAACAAAAGCCCACCCAGAAAAGGAAGAAAAATTTGATTATAAGAGTTCCAAACTGTAATATTCAAGATGTACACTTTTCAATCAGAAATTGTAAAGCATCCAAAGAAATAAGAAAGTGAAGTCCATTCACAGATGTTAATAGAAACTGCTGCTGGGGAGGCACAGACATTTTACTCAATAGAGAATGACTTTAAATCAATTGTGTTAAATATGCTCACAGAGCTGAAGGAAATCATGAATAAAGAGCTAAAGGAAACCAGAATAACAATGTATGAAAAAAGTAGAAAATATCAATAAAGAGATAAAAAGTATTAAACACATACATGCACAGAAATTCTGGAGCTTAAAAGTCTAAGAACTTACATACAAACTCAGTAGAAGAATAAAACAGCAGATTTGAGCAGGCAGAAGAAAGAACCAGTGAAAATAATAATAGATCAATTAAAATTACTGGTACAGAAAGCAGAAAGAAAAAAGAGTGAAGGAAAATGAGCAAAGCCTAAGACACATTTAAAACATCATCAAACATAGCAACATAAAATAATGGAAATCACAAGAGGAGAGAGAGGAAAAGGGCAGAAAGAGTATTTAAACAAATGACGGCCAACAACTTGCCAAATTTGGCAAAGGACATAGAACTATATGTTCAAGAAGTTCAACAAACTCAAAAAAAAAAAAAAAACACTAAAAAAATGCATTCTGAGACACATTATAATAAAATACGCAGAAGATAAGAACAAAGATAGGATCCTGCAAGCAGCGAAAGAAAACCCTCTTGATATATATAAGGGATTCTCAATAAGTTTAACAGGAGATTTCTCAGCAATAAATATAGAGACAAGAAGAAGGTGGAACAACATTTTTAAAGAAAAGAGCTTCCTTTCTTTCTTTCTTTTGAGATGGGGTTTCACTCTTGTTGCCCAGGCTGGAGTGCAATGGCGCCACCTTAGCTCACTGCAGCCTCTGCCTCCTGGGTTCAAGTGATTCTCCTGCCTCAGGCTCCCAAGGAGCGGGGATTACAGGCTCCCACCACCAGACCCAGCTAATTTTTTGTATTTTTAGCAGAGACAGGGTTTTGCCATGTTGGCCAGGCTGGTCTCAAACTCCTGGCCTCAGGTGATCCTCCCACCTCAGCCTCCCAAAGTGCTGGGATTACAGGTGTGAACCACTGCTCCCAGCCAAGAACAGAGCTTTCAACCAAAAATTCTATATATAGCAAAATCGTCACTCAAATGAAGGAGAAACCAAGATATTCCCTGATAAACAAAAGCTGAGGAAAGCTGAGGGAGTTTGCAATAAGTAGAACTGCCCTCCAAAAATGTCAAAGGGAGGCTTCAGCATGAAGTGGAAAAATATAGGCAATAATTTGAAGCTATATGAAGAAACAAAAAACTCTAGTAATGATAACTCCCTAGGTAGATAGAAAAGGCAGTCTTATTGTATATTTGGCTTGTGACTCATCTTTATATTTCTTATATTAACATGATTTAAAAGAAAAATGTATAATAATAATTATAAATCTAGATTAATGGTCACACAATATATATAGATGTAATTTGTGACAAAAACAATATTGTAAGGGTGAAGCTGTATAAAAACAGTTTGTGTATGTGATTGAACATAAGATAAAATTAGTTCAAACTAAATTGTTCTAAATTTAAAATATGAATTATGATGACCAACATAACCATAAGAAAAAAAATTCGAGAGGAAATGAGAAGAGATCAAAGAAGGGCATTATAAAAATAAACACAAAAGAAAGCAGCATTGAAGGACTTAAAGAAAAAAAACACGTAAAAGGACAAACAGAAAACAAATGGAACAATGAAACAATTACTTCATTTTAAGAAATTAAATGTAAATAAATGTAATTCTCCATTCAAAAGGCTGAAAATGGCAGAATGGATTTTTAAAATTCACTTACTTGCTTTCTAAAGATGCAATGCATTGAGGGTAAATGATGGAAAAATATATTCTTTGCAAACTGTAATCAAGAAAGAGCAGAATTTGTTATCCTCATATCAGAAAAATTAGACTTTAAGTCAAAAATTGTTATGAGAAGAAGTGATACTATATATTGAAAAATGGTCATTAAAGAGACAAAATAATAAACATATATGTATCAAACAATACAGATACAAATTATATGCTATGGTTTGAATGATTATATTCCCCTTCCAAATTCATATTGAAATTTAATCCCCAAAGCAATAATACTGAGAAGTGTGAACTTTGAGAGGTAATTATTAGGGCCCTACCATTACGAATGAAATTAATACCCTTATAAAAGAGCTTAGGATTGAAGGGAAGGCTGTCTTTTCCTTCTGTTCCTTCTGCCATGTGAGAATGCAGTGTTCCTTCCCTCTGGAGAGTGCAGCAAAAAGGTATCATCTTGGAAGCAGAGAGCAGCCCTCTCCAGACACCAGTCCTGCTAGAACCTTGATCTTGGACTTTCTCCAGCTTGCAGAACTGTGAGAAATAATTTACTATTGTTTATATTACCCAGTCTGTGGTATTTTGCTATAGCAGCACAAATGAACTAAGACATTATATGATGTAAACAAGTTTCTAGAAAAACGCAAACTACCAAACTTATTCAAGAAGAAATAAAATGCCTGAACAGACCTATAATGAGTAAGTTACAAAATCATTAATCAAAAACCTTCCTAACAATAGAAAGGCTAGAACCAGATGACTTCACTTGTGAATTCTAACATTTAGAAGAATTAACACTCATCTTTCTCAAACTCCTCCCAAAACTGTACAAGAAAAGATTACTATCTCATTCTGTGAGGTTAAAAATTATTTTGATATGAAACCTAGACAAAGATAGCACAAGAAAAGAAACCAACAGATCAATATCTCTTATAAATACAGATGTAAAAATCCTTCAGGTATATTAGAAAACTGAGTTCTTCAGCATATGAAGAGGCTTATACATCATGAACAAGTGGGTTTTATTCCAGGAATATAAGAGTGGCTCAGCAAAAGAAAATCAATGTAATACAACATATAGTAGAAAAGGGAGGAAAACAAATGATCATCTCAATTTATTGATAAAATCTATTTGACAATATCCAACACTCCTTATAAAAATATTTTAAGAGCTAGAAATAAAAAGAATCTCCCTCAACAATGTAAAGAATCTTTATCTAAACAAGCTAAGACTACTCAATGAATAAAGACTGAAAGCTTTCCACCTATGATGGAATAAGACGAGAATATCCACTTTTACCATTGTTATCCAGCATTGTACTGGAAATTCTAGCCAGAGTAACTAGACAAGAAAAAGAACTAAAAGATGGTCAATTTGGACATGAAGAAGTAAAACTATCTCTGTTCACACATGACATGATCCTCATACATAGAAAATCTCAGATAATCTACAATAAGCTACTAAAGCTAATAGATGATTTCAACAAAGTTGAAGAGTACAAGGTCAACACTAAACAATCAGTCATGTTTCTGTATACCAACAATGATTAATCAGAAAAGAATATTAAGGTTCTATTTACAGTATCATAAAGAAGAATAAACTAAATAGAAATGAATTTAACCAAGTATGAAAAACTTTTACACTATAAACTACAAAATGTTGATTTTTGTTTTATTTAAATTATTTCCAGAATGAAAAGACATTCCATATTTATGAGTTGGAACACTAATATTTCTAAGATGGTAATATTACCTAAAGCAAATACAGACTCAATGCAATTACTATTAAAATCCCAACTGGCTTTCTTGCAGAAATAAAAAAGCTAATTCTCAAATTTATATGGAACTGTGATGGGCTCTTCATAGCAAAGCAATATATATATTTTTAAAGTGTAATAGTCACACTTCCAGATTTCAAACATTCCACAAAGGTGCAGTAATCCAAACAATGCAGTACCAGCATGAGGACAGATATAGAGATGAATGAAGTAAAATTATAAGCCCAGAAATAACTCATATATCTATAACCAAGGAAGGTTCACACAATAATAATTGGGAAAGAATGGTCTCTTCAATAAATGGTGCTGGGTGAAATGGTTATTCACATGCAAAAATTAAAGCTAGACTCCCTAACTCACACCATAAAAAAAATTAACTCAAAATGAATCAATGACCCATGTAGATAAACTAAAACCATAAACTCATTTAAAAAAAACAAAAGACAGATCTTTGTGACCTTGGATTCAGCAGTGTATTCTTAAATAAGACATCAGAAGCACAAGCAATGAAAGAACAGGTGAATGAAGAACTTTGTGCACCAAATGAAACTATTATGAAAGTAAAGAGACAACCTACATTATAGAAGAAAGTATATGAAAATATGTTTCTGACAAGAGATTAATATCCGGAATAAAGAACTCCTACAACTCACTATCAGTAAAACCAGCAAGTCCCTTAAAATGGGCAACAGGCTTAAATAGATCTATCTTTAAAGAAGATATATAAATGGCCAATAGACACATAAGAAGATACTCAGTCAACATAGTTAATTATTAGGGAAATGCAAATTAAAACCAAATGAGATACTACTTCATATCTCTTGAATGCCCATAATTGAAAAAAAAAAAAAAGAAAAGAACAAGTGTTTCTAAGAATTTGGAGAAACTGGAACACATGAATATTTCTGTTGGGAATGTAAGATGGTTCAGCTGCTGTGGCAAATAGTTCTTCAGACATTTAAACACAGAAATTACCATAGGATCTAGCAATTCCATTCCTAGGTATATAACCCCAAACACTAAAAACATGGACTCAAACAAATACACACAGGTTCACAGTAGCACAATCTCTGGAATATGCATACAATGGATTGCTATGAGCCATAAAAAGGGATGAAGCACTGTTACAAGTGACTTGGTGGATGAACTTCTAAAACATGCAAAGTGAAAGATGTTAGACACTAAAGGTCACATGTTATTTGATTCCATTTATGTGAAATATCTAGAAAAAGTAGATCTTCAGAGAACAGAAGTAGATTGGTGATTGCCAGGGGATGAGGGAGGTGGGATATGAGGAGCAACTGAGGTGGGATATGAGGAGCAACTGCTTAATGGGTAGAGTTTCCTTTTGGGGTGATGAATATGTTTTGGAACTAGATGGAAGACTGTTTTGGACAGAGTCATGCTCTCTTGCCCAGCTTGGAGTGCAGTGGCATGATCATGGCTCACTACAGCCTCAACTTCTCCGTCTCAAGCAATCCTCCTGCCTCCTGAGTAGCATGTGCCAACAAACCTGGCTAATTGTTTTAAAAAACTTTTAGTTGCGATGGGGTCTCACTATGTGGCCCAGGATGGTTTTGAATTCCTAGGCTCAAGTGATCCTCCTGCCTTGGCCTCCTCAAGTGCTGGGATTACAGGCATGAGCCACCAAACCCCACCATAACTCTCGCTTTTATGGAAACCTGACTTCTCAGAGACCAGACTATCTAATCATACATTAGAGGCCAGAATATCACATTTCTAAATCAAATTTCTATTAGGAAGAAGAAATAAAATATATGACAAACTATTAAAGTTGTATAATGACACACAATTTTATATAATGTGGTTTAGGATGGAAAATATGAACTTATATTTTATCATGGGTATTTGAAGTTCTGAAAAATTATGAAACCAGAAATAAAAATACATACAGAATTTACACTTACGATTTTCAACTTCCCACTTCTGTCACTGCCTCCCTTTCTGCCCCTTGTCCAAATTTTTACACCTCAATCCTCAGCTGAATTCTTTCTCTGCTATGCCTTCCCTTTTAGAAATACATAGAATTAGTTTACTAATTACAAAAATCATAGGAAAGAATAAAGGGGAAATTTATTTTTCTAAAATATTTTTTTGCCCCTATCATCCATGGGCACAAGAATATGTCTTAACTTATATTACAAGGATTATGACACATGTCAAAGCTAAAAGTGCCTGAGAGAGTGATCGAGCATCTCTGCCTTCTAGTTGTGTGAAATTAGTCAATTTACTTCAACTTGTAAGACTCAGATGAATACTCTAGAATGTAAATAAATGAATAGTATCTATGCAATATTAGTGATGTGAGAAAAAATAGTACATGTAAAGCACTTAGTACAACATCTGGCAAGAAAAAGATATACATAAATGTTTATAGGTTCTCTTCTGACTCTTGTAAAACTAAACACATTATAATGTAAACCAAATTCATCATTTATCTGACTGGACACTCTAACATTATGAGAGTAACTAAGGGAATCACATATGGCTTAAATATAGAAATGAAACTATAAAGGAAAGACAAAAAAGTAACTGTTTTTATTCCGTTAATGCCAGAGGAAATTATTTTTTATTCAACATCAGAGATAAATCTATTTAAAAAAGCAACAACAATCCATATTATCCAGGGGGAAACTGTTAGAATCTGTCATTGTTTTCTCTGCAGCCTGATTATGCCTGGGTAATGCTACATGGAAATCCATGTTCAATCTGTGCTGTTGTTGAAAAAAACAAGCAGAGACACATTAGACTATGCCTATCAATACAGCACATCTCCTGCTTTAATTCAACAAAATAAACAATTTGCATCTTGATTGATGCCGATGTTTACAAGTAGTACAAATCTAAAAATCTGGTAAAACATTATTTTCCCCTCATAATGCATAATGGGGATAGTTTAATCATTGCTTTGACATTTTAAAACACAGGTCAGGTGCTTAAATGACACCTAATAAATTACAGATGCCAAGATATTGTCTGCAATATAGTACAACATAACATTTTAACTAACTATAACCAGGAGCTGTCATTTTGTTAGAGCAAAATAGTAACTAGAATGAATTCACTTTGAGTTTTTGCATAACAATAACAGATCAGCTGTCATCAGTCCAATAAAGTCCTTAATTTTATTAAATGCTTTCTAGGAAATGAGTTTTACATATAGATGTATGTGTGTGTGTGTGTGTGTATGTGTGTGTGTGCATGTGTGTGTGTGCAGGCATATGAATATTTTTAAAGCCCTCTTTCAAAGGGTCAAATCTTTTTTTTTTAATCTGTTGTCTTAACAATAGGAACAGAGAGGATTCTTTACCTCAACATCATATTTGTGGGCACATAGTAAGGCTAGGAGATGAATCCAAGTCAGTCGAATACCAAGGTCAATTTAGTCACTCTATCTACTATACTTTCTCCACAAACTAGCTGCTGAAGTCATCCAAATCTATTGGCCCTAGCTGTGTTATGTAGAAAACTGCTCTACTTCCTTTAAACTGGTGTGTTATGAGGGTTAAATGAGTTGATTGTGTGCACTGTACATTTAGGTTGATGTAAAAAAGGCATAATACCTTAAATGCTGTCTTCTAGTTTTTGGTTTCTTTTGTTGATTTTTCTGAATAGGGCTGCCTATGTTTCTCTAGTTTCCTTCACTTGCTTAATTCTCTGTTTTGACTCAAATGAACTAATTGAGCATAGCTTCATGGATGTAACACATATCTGATATTAAAGACTTATCTAATCATCAACATCACTGTGGCAGTATCGACCTGGGTAAGTTATTACCCAACATGGCCTATGAAATTAGTTTAAAATTCTTAATCTTAGAGACACTTCTAGAAGTGAAAATAAAGACATCTCTATTGCGGAACTGAAAAATTACCATTAAATTCTTGTTTAACTGAGATCAAGCAGAGCTCTCATGATTCCCACATCAATGCTTGGTTATGTTTATATTCTGATAAACCTGCAAAGACCATCTACTGTGCACACCTAAAAAGTGTACTAAAGGAATGAATCCCACTATTGTAACAGAGGGTAATTGGGAAGTTTCCAAAAGAAACAGGAGCTAGAGCTAACAATGAAGACCACATTTTGGTGCTTTCCCGTTTTACCCTTAGTCAGCATGACAGATAATCAGTGTGATGACTCTGTCTCGGCATTGACCGATTACAGACACAGTCAAAGGGCAACAGGCCATTGTTGCTGAAGAACTGTGGAGTATACACAGTTCGCAGGTGGCTATTTCAGTATGGCAGATGGATTAAAGAGCCTGATGACTATCCTGTATCAACTGCATTCTGACTCATAAAATATGCACCTTTGTTCTTAAAACAGGCCAAAATTGGTAATTCTATTCTGCACAAAATGTTCTCCCAAGTATATTCCTTCTCATTCTACATATTAAATGTAAAAACAAGATTGCAAAGTAGATGCATACCTTTACTAGACTGATTTCTACAACTTTAAGCATTAATGTACACTCATATATTTGTAGAGTATAATTATTGATCTTATAGTTAACATATTCTCAAAATAAACGTGGGTAAACTCCTTCTCTTTAAACAAACTCAATAGAAAAAATAATGTAGGCTTCATCAATGCATCTGAATAAGTCCACCCTGTAATTAAAAAAATGGAATGAATAATTTGTTCCTTTCAGAAATACTTATAAAATGAAATGCTTGAATAGCCTATTCTTCAAAAATAGTTAGGACTTCTCTTCACAAGGCAAGGAAGAGTCTGATAATTTTAGAAATTAAGGCACATGTGTCAAACTACTTCTGTAATAAAATTTGCAATCAAACCGAAATTACAGTGAACATGTGTTTCTCTGGTTATAGGCTTGCATTCCTTAGACTTACCTGCAAATTGTGTGCTATTTTGAGTAAAACAGTTTCTAAAACATTTCTTTGACTAAATAACTTTTTGTATGCTTTCATCTTCAAAACCAACCCACTAAATATATTTTCATGGTAGAAAAATCTTAGTGAAAGAGCCCACCATATTTCATCTGTTGCTATATTTGTCACTAAACAAGGCATTATTATCATTGGTAGCTGTTATTAATATATTAGATAATAGACATTAGAGTTATAATACACTTCAAGAGATCACCTCACATTTTAGCAAACCAAAGATGTCCTTTTCTTCAATGAAACACTGAAGCCATAGAAGTTAGTGACTAGCCCAGGGTTGTATAATTATAAAAGCTATATGAATTTATGACTGCCACTCTTTTTTATTTTTTGAGACAGAGTCTCGTTCTGTCACCAGGCTGAAGTGCAGTGGTGCGATCTGGGCTCACTGCAACCTCTGACTCCCAGGTTCAAGCAATTCTCCTGCCTCAGCCTCCCGAGTAGCTGGGACTACAGGTGCATGCCACCATGCCCGGCTCATTTTTTGTATTTTTAGTAGATATGGGGTTTCACCATGTTGGCCAGGATGGTCTCGAACTCCAGACCTCGTGATCCTCCCACCTCGGCCTCCCAAAGTGCTGGGATTATAGGTGTGAGCCATCGCGTCCGGCCTGACTGCCACTCTTATTGGAAGAGTTGTTCTAGAGGCAGGCCTTGTCCTAAAAGGCCCAGTGTCTTGCTGAATTTCCACAGTCAGAAGCTTCCCCTCCTGACATAGATTCCTCTACTTGGTTGAAAGTTTCCACCTGCTTGACTGGTTTTACTTAGAAAGCTAGGCCTTGAGAACATATTGGTGGACAGAGGGAAGATCAGAGGGATGATGCTGCATGTTTAATTTCCAGCTGGAGGTTTTCTTTATGGCTCTGTTTTAGCACAGCTGAGAGAACTCAAGCCTGAGGGTTAGAAGAGAAAGGCTTGGTGCAGTTGGAGCACTGCAGGCTGACCACAGACGTACACAGCCAGACACACGCAAAATCAAGAGTGTACATGGCCTTGATGGATATTCTTGTTCTCACCCCAAAAGTTAAACAAACTCAGATATTCTTCCTGTCTGATGAGAGAGGCAAGACTAGATCATTTCTAAAAGTTCTTCCAGGCTGAAGACTCAAGTCTTGAGCTGCAAACTATTAGTCTTCTGGCCTTATGTATTACTCTGACATGTTTGGGTTGAGCCCACCGTAAAGGCCATGCGACTACACTGCCATTTTGCTGGGTCACAACTCAAATTTCTAACCACTAGTTGTTATACTTGCCCACTTGATCAATTTACATAATCTTCTAGGCACTTGAGGGCATTGAGTTTGCAGAAAGTATAGAACACTCTCTGTATAAAGTAGGGTGTCTGCTTCCTACAGCAATACCTTTTCCACTCCAGCATTATTATTTTCTTTTTTATTTTATAATGTCCCTACCAATAATAATAGTGAAATCCAAAGACATTTGAACATGTAGTATGTGAAATGCACTTGGTAAACTGTAAATCTAAATAATAATTGTGGGCTGGGTGTGGTGGCTTATGATTGTAATCCCAGCACTTTGGGAGGCCTAGGCAAGAGAACTGCTTGAGACCAGGAGTTCGAGACCAGCCTGGACAACACAGAGAGACCCTATCTCTATAACAATAAGAATAAAACATAACCAGGCATGGTGGTCCCAGCTACTCAGGAGGCTGAGGTGGGAGGATCGCTTGAGCCCGGAAGTTCAAGACTGCAGTGAGCCATGATTGCACCACTGCAGTCCAGCCTGAGCAACAGAGCGAGACCCCATCTTAAAACAAAACATAAATAAATAAATAAATGCCACTTCTATTTATATGATTAATATCATATGAAATTAAGTCTGAGTTGGGGGGCTGTGGTGTTCTAAATATGTGTATTTTCTAAATGTTTGTATTTGTGTAACGGGATTGGAGGTGAAAGTTATAAAATAGCGAAAGTGCAGGGCCAACTACAACAGCACCTAGAATGTGGTGAGAACTCCACAATTACCTATGGGATGAATGAATGCATGAATAATTTGACCCCAGGAGACTAACTTCAGGTTAAATATTTTGTCCCTTTCCGTTTGTCATAACTAAAATTGAAGTCACAGAAGATGTATATTCCTGAGAGGTTTTATACCTTTTCTGGGGAACATTCTTTATATAACACTGCTTGTCATGGTTTCTGGTGGTCAATAAGTACTGAATAATAGCAATCATCAAAGGAATAGCAGCAGCAGTGCTAGGCAGCATGCTAAATAAACTCTTGAACTACATTATCTCATTTTACCTCCATAATAACACTGCAATGTTGGAACTAAATATTATACCCATCATGCAGATGAGTAAAGTGAGAGAGAAGGTTAAATAACTTGCCAAATTGCACAAAACTACTGTATTACAGAGGCAGAACTCAAACTCAGGTATGTCACGCTTGTTCTTGCTTTAACAAATGAATAAGTGCAGGACAAAATGAACTCAATTATGGTTCATCACTGTGGTTTTATACTGGGAAAAATTGAAAAGGGTTGAGCAGAAGTTTAACTTAGTGAGTGCCTCACTCTATGTGGTCTTTGTTGTATCAAACTCTCAAGGACACCAAAATATCACTATGGCCTCAATGAGTAACAAGAAAACCTGAGAAAGTGAATCACTGGGCCAAGGATGCTAGAACCAGGATGAAAGAAAAAGAGTTCAAGAGAAATACACAGGGATTATGACATGAATACCTCCATCTGGCTAATAGCCATCAATAGAAGGCAGCAATGTCGACTCATTCTTTTTTTATAATTATGTTAAACTTCTTGTGTTTAAGTGAAACACCATGCTGAAACTCATCTTCCTGTAACAATGATTCTTGGCATTATGCAGCAACTTAGAGCCATCACATTGCTCAATGACATTGTACTGCAGATGTACAAATGAGGCAGTTAAGAAAAGGTTCCTGGGGAGAATGCCGGATAAGCCAACTTTTACCAGGGAATTTTTTCTTTCTTCCTTTCCAATTACCTTTCTCTCCTCCTTCCTCCCTAGTAGCTCCCTTAATTTCTTTCTCAACCTCTCCACATGTTAACTAACATCTAAAAACTGCATTTTTGGCAGTTTATTTATTTCAATGTCAGTATTTTTCAAAGATGGTATATCTCACGAAGTGTCTCACTGGAACAATTGATACTGCCATTTGTATAATTAGTCACCAAAATTATTTGACTAAATGACTCTGAAAAACAGTTATTGTTAATCATATTTTGTACATCAGGAAATAAGTTCAATGTGTTTAAGGGGCTCATAAAATAACAAAACTAAGACAAACCTGAAGTGGAAATAAATAGCATTCAACAACAGGCTATAATTTAAAAATATCAGTTGATTTTTGGATTCATTCAATCCTATCCCAGAAATGACTATTTTTCATAACACTGTGTCATATGTGGGTGTTTGGTCTTTGAGAAAAACAGTTGGGTGGGTGGGTTGCAGCAACTGCTAAATGTATCTGGAAGACAACTGAAGGAGTTTAAAAGTGATCCCTTTATCTCTGCCTTCCTTATTAGTACCTACTAAAGAGTAATGAATCTCCTGGGTATTGAAATAGTCCCCAGAAAGAAGCACAATGATAATTTCCATATTAGTATTAAACTCTTTAATCTGAAGAACACAGTCCAAAAATCATTGCAGGGGCAATTTGCAAAGTTTCTTTAGATAGGGTAGAAACTTAGAATGTAAAAACTTTAGGAAAGAAAGGAAAAGAAGACACAAGAAATAGGTGTCCAAATTTAGAGGCTTAGATCACTCTCTTTCGATCTGATCTTTTTCCATCAAATCCTGTCTTTCCATTTCCATACAGTTGGGTTATCATCTATATATAGAAACTTCCAGATGCCACTCCCTCATCTTCAACCCACAATAAAAGTCAAATGTCTTCTGCATTTATCAAACTAACACATAGTAAGTCTGTAAGTGGCAATGGAGACCAAAAATCTCCTTGGCATTCTCAACTTACATATTTTACATTTTCAGCTTCCCCAAAATATCCTGCATGATATTTGAACTGCAGAATTACTGTGCCATTTGCAAAATGTCTGATTATGCTTTTTTTCCAAATTCCAACCCATGCTAATGTGCCCTAAGATACCACATATTGCTACCCTCTTAAGGCATTTGAATGCGAAATTATCATCCACAATACCATCCATCATAAGAGAGGAATAAAGACAGATTACCTGGGGTTAAGAGGATGACTGACATAGTGATGAGTGAGCATACAACTAAAATCACCAGCAGAGCAATAGCAATTCCCTTCCAGTTTCTCTGTGGAGGGCTGTTACTTCCCAGTTCCTACCGAGATAGAAAAAAAAGTTTTGTAATTATTCATGCTCCAAGAGAAATGTATTCATAAAGGAATGATTCAGTGCATGGCACAATCACAGTTTGAAAGCTGATTAGAATCCATTTCCTCTTCAGTAGTTCATTTAATTATTCAAAAGTGCACATATTATAAATGGCTATCTTTTGGGGGACAATCTGCTCTCTCTGTGAGATAAACCAGCAGCGTTTTATGCTTGCTGTCCAAAATGTAGATGGTGTAAAAATGCATTGACTATAAACACCAGGATGATAGCCAAAATACTCTGCAAAATAATTATTGAAATAGAGCGAGTCCATTTACATGTATTCTTGCTACAATGGAACCTACAATAAAGATGTAAATGTAAATGTTCTTGAAGCACTACGGGCTACTTTCTAACTGGATGGGGCAAAGACTAGAAATGGGAAAATCATTCAAAATGTCCCTCACTGCAGAGCAGCGCACATTTGTTAACCAAACAGGTCTTTTTTAAACAGTTCTCCCACCACTCATAAAAAAAAAAAAAAAAAAAAAACAGGATTTAGTTAACTAAATTAAATGAGTCCTTCTATACCAGTGGTTAATGACACTGTCTTGCTGGGCAACATGCATGATATTGGAAAAAGGTATGGTTGATGGGGAAAATAAACTTGTACATCTCTCACGATGCATGTGGTAAAGCTATTCATTCCTCCAATGATCTGTGCTCTCCTGTGTTGACTAGATATGTGTGGGCATAATTCACCAAAGCAAAGCACAGACCACAATGATTTGAAATGAAAGTCAGCTTTTTTTGCAATACAGTTTATAAAACACTGAGCTTCTCATTTTTTTCTTCCTACTCCATTTCCCAACTGCTTTTCATCCTTTCTCAATACAGCCTCTTTATTTAGAAATAGCTAACAGATTTGGTGATAAATGAAACAAAATATGAAGATATCCAGCTCACTACATGTGCACAAATCACACCAGAAGCCGTAGAGCCGCTTTGTTGTCAACAAATATAAACAGAATAGAAAACATTTAATAAATTTGTACATGAGTTCCTGTGACTCACAGATTAAAACATTGATGTCAATATTCATATAGTTATTTTGGTATTGAATTGTGCCATAAACCCGGCAGATTTAAAGAACTAGACTCTAAATAAATACAAGAAGAAACCATGCATAGGAGGCATTTTGTTGTTTGTTGTTTCCCTTCTCAGATAAATCGCTCTAAGTTAGTCTTTCATTCTGATAAACCAAATCCAGGAGAGATCAATTCCACTTTTTCTTAAATGACTTGCTCCACACCTCTTTTTCAAATAATGCTTATTATCCAACACTTCTATTCCTCTTGCACTTTAGGATTCTCATTCATATTTTCCACGTAAATCAATACAGTGGGTCCCCCAAATTATCAGCTTTAGAGAAGTGATATAAAGACAGTCAATAGTTGCCTTGTGACCATAAACCCTTATCTGGAATGCAACGTTCCTGCAAGTTTCTAGGTGAGTTTCTTTGTTAGAATGTGTGTGCTGTGATGATTGCTGATTCTCTATAATGATGCCCTACTTCAAGGCTACTCAGAAGGTAGAGTGACAGAACGAGAGAGGCTGCTGCTGTAAATCAAAACCTACAGTGGTCTGAAAGTTGGGAAATACTCATCTCAAGAACTGAGACAGTGAAAAAAAGGGCAGTAACCAACAGCGAATGGGTATCTGGGCCAAGAACCATAAATACTTTCCTATTTATTAACTCTAACAGAAGCAAGCACATATTATTGTTTCACAATGTAAGAACAGGAAAAAGAATAGAAATGTAGCAATTATAACTGACTTTTCAATTCAGTAAGAGAATCAAGAAAAAATTATAAACTGAAATTTACTGATTATGATCTTGATATGCTGTCACTCCAACTCATGACAAACCATTTGAGAAATGACTTTTGACTGTGTTTTTCAGTTTGTGAATATGATAAAACCATGTAATGTCTACCAGACATAGTCTAACAAAGAGTAATAATAGCTTATATATATTATTATGTGTCTGGTATTGAAATATTTTAGATTTGCAATCTCACATAATCCTCAAAATAATCTGGTAAGATTAGTGTCATCTTCACAAATTTGCAGATAAGAAAACGGGATTTGAAGAGATTAGTAACATATCCTTTTATCACTAATAAGTAGGAGAGCTGGAGTTCTAGTTCATAAAATCTGATTATAAAGATCACACTTAACCACTATAATGCCACTTGTAAAGATAAATATTTCTAGAACAAGTACATTAAAGAATCAATAAATCAATAAGTTATTTGGACCCATACATAACTGTACATCAATACTTTTTATTTGGGAAAATTCACAGTAATATGTGGAATTCAGTAATGCTATCCTGAAGTCAGTAATGTTTGCAAATAAATGTATATTTTCCAAGTCACAGCTGGCTACGGAAGTCCACCATTTAAAAAGTGGTAAAACAAATTTGAGCGAGACATATTTTTCTGTTCATAAAGTGATGCACATAAGAATGTGTGGTTCCTCTGAAATGACTCATCAATGCTCAAGGCATATACAAGTCCCTATTTGAGAACTGCTGACTTAATGAATGTAATATAATTCTCCCCTTTCCATCCACCTTATATTCTATTACCATTACATTTCTAAAGCATGGTGTTACTTACGTTACTTTTTTTCTCCAAAGTTCTTTAACATCCCTACACTGGCTAAAGAATCAAACACAAATGTGTCAGTCTAGAAGAATAATTATCTGTATCCACGCTCCCGTTTCCCCAGCCAGCACAATCTGCTTTTGAGAAAGAATCTTGTATTTCATGCTGCTCTGATTACCATTTCCTTACGTTTGCCTCAGATGCTTCAACCTTCACATCACCATTCCATTCCTAATTCTGTTCCATCCAACCCCTTTCATATGCATCCAGTTATAGACACTGTCAGTCATTCAACATCCTGCTCAAATGTCTCTTCTCTTGGGAATTTCTCCTAGTTATGCAAGCCAGATATGACTTTCCTTTCTCTGGAAAGAAAAGTGCCTAAAATACACTGTACCAGTAAGTTTGAATCCAACTCCGCTACTTGAGAGCTAGGAGACTGCAAACACACTTCTAAATTATTCTGAGCCTCAAAATTTTTACCTGAACAACTGGAATAATAATGACAATTATTTTTAAATGTTGGAAGGATTAAAATAAAATAACTCATAAAAAAAACTCTTACCTAAGTATATGATAAGAAAGTTTACACTAAGTGAACTGTTTGGAATGTTCTCCCTCAATATACTTGTACTCTTTCTCATCATTCATTATGTCATGAATGAATGACATCATCATCGTCATAATGATGATGGTGAATGGTAGTGTTGGTGTTGCTTAAAACCATGTATAAAGATCCCTCATATCCCTGTTGGGTTTAAAGTTATTAACTCCTTAATGTAAGAATCACATCTTAGAAAATTTTATTTTTTTTTTAATTTAAAAAAATGTTGTTAGAGAGAGGGTCTTGCTCTGTCACCCAGGCTGGAGTCCCATGGCACAATCATAGCTCACTGAAACCTCAAACTCCTGGGCTCAAGTCATCTTCCTGCCTATGCCTTCTGAGTAGCTAGGATGACAGGCATAGTGCCATCACACACAGTTAATTTTTTAAAATTATTTTTTGTAAAGACGAGGTCTTCTATGTTGCCCAGGCTGATCTCAAACTCCTGGCCTCAAGCAATCCTCCTGTGTCAGTCTCCCAAAGCTCTGGGATTAAAACCATAAGCCACTACACCCAGCCTTAGACAATTTTAGATTCCTTACGTCAGTTAACAATCTCTTGTTCTCTTAATAGGTGCTTAGAAAGTAATTAGCCAGTTAATTAAGTGGTGGTGAAAGTGATCCTGATTGACTTTGTTTTTGATGGCTTTCTACCACCCAACATCTGAAAGCAATCAATTGCACATGCCAGACCAACAGAACAGGTATGATCCTGGGCAGCAGCCTTAGACAAGGAACATGTTAGGAACTTGCAACATGGTCATCTGGATGCTTTGGTCACAGAACAAAGTGCATGTTAGATTATGATATCACAAGGAGGGGGTCTAGAAACTTAGGGGCAAACATTAAATGATCCATAGATGGTGCTACTTTTGTAAATGAGCCCCCCGGTGGATGGATGCATCAGTTGAAACGCTTGTGTTCAACGTCAGATCATATTAAACATTGTGATTGCCTAGAGACACGTTAGTGCTATAGTCCAAACTAAACTGAGTCTGTAACCTAACTATTTACATTACATCTACCAGCAACAAATTACTCATCATCCTTCAGGGAACAGTTTAGTTTACCAGACAAGGCTTACCACTATAAAGATAATTTATCTAAGTCCAAATTCATTTTTTATTTGTTTAGGTGCAAGGAGAAAAATGCTGGGAATAATAAGTAGGAAAAATGCAAGGGTAATACACCATTTTATTTGGCAAAATAAAGAAAAAATCTTAACCAGCGGATTTGCTTTTCTTCATAAGGAAGTAAAGGATACCAAAATTTGTTTTTTTAAGAAATAGTATTCCATTTGTACTTTCCTTTGGAAAACGTCAATGTATTTATCTGCCATATGTATTCTGAAAAGAAATATAATCCATCTATATTGAAATAGTCTGAAAAGCATGACATTTAGAGAAAATACAAGGAAAAATCATTGAGATATTGAAATTATACATCTAGATTGAATGTGGGTGTGTTTTAACAAAAATAGATTTTCTCCAACCACCTGTCTACTTTCTAAGAAGCACAAGGAAGGTTCTTAAAAATATCTGTATTTCCGTGTGAAAAGATGTACTTGGGTTTTTAGCCCTAGAGTGTGAACACTGTTTACGTTCGTTCTTAGCGTCATTCTTAACCCAATCACACCAATCACTCAAAAGCTTATTTACTCACTTTCTTTTATCCCTTCCCTATATTGACTTGCTTCAATACATCTTCACATAGAATCTTAATGTTTTCTCAAAGAAGTTCAATAAAGTTCCTCAAAATTAAAAAAAAAATGGGGTCTCCTCTTCCATCAGTTCACGTTCTGTTAAATAGCTCAAAAGTTTGAACTGTCTTTTAGTTATTTTATTTTACTGATGGTGTTTATATTTTCAACGGTAAGTAATGTCAAATATGGAAAGGTTTGAAATAGTTCAAAGACATTTATGCTGAATAATCCGAAAATATCCTAAAGGAAGTTAAAATATTTTAAGAGTTTCTATATTGTCTCATGATATTAAAGAAACAGCATTTAAGAGTTAAAACTTTAAAAGATACCTGGAATAAACTCCATCTTAAAGAAACATGCTCTTACAACACACCTAAGAAATGTTTAGCCAGCTCTGGCTTGAAAAGCCTTGAGATATAGAAATTCAATTTAAATTTCCTTAAATAATACCATTTACCATTTAACAAAATGTACTGGAGTGTGTTAAGGTTTGGGATACCACACAAGATGAAGCTGGGAATACAAATTAAAATAAGACCTGTTCCCAGTGAGCATAAAGTCTGAGAAAGAATTTTCTAGGCAATAATACAATACAAGGTTAAAAAAAATAAAGGTAAAAGAATAAATCATAAAATTTTGCTATGGGAAATAAAGAAAAAAATTATTAATTTTCTTATATTGATATAAAACATTCACTATGCACATTCAATCAACATCCTATAAAAAAGGTGCTGGATATGCTGGGATTATGTAACTATACAAAATCTAGAATGAAAAAGGAATCAGAGGAGTTTTTTTAAAAGTAGAGAATGTGTATAAAAATACACATGTAGGTATTTGGAAATGTCCACAAAATGTGCATTTCTTTTCCTTCTGGAAAAAATAATTGACAACATTTACAAGCTATATTAGATTAATAAGCATAAAAGGAACTGAGATAACTTTCAAGGAGTTTCCAAAAGAAGAAGGCAAAATCTGATTTTTGCCTCCAAGAAACAAATAACTTTTGCACTATTTAAAATATTTTATAACATATTGAAGGCAGAAAAAAATTCTAAATTTTTATTAAGTTCGTGTCATCTGAATAGTATGTCTGAAAAAAATACCACAAAAAGAAAATTCAAATTCAATTTAAAGAAATAAATGTAATTATACTAAAGACAACTTTAGTCAATTGAATGTAAGAGTTTAGTATAAATAACAAACATTATGGACTATTGTCTAGTATTAGGAGAAACAGTCATGGTTTCCTACAAGACATCAGTTAAGAATACCAATAAAGAAAATATAATCATAGAGATTATTTCTTATATTTAAGTTGCACTTAATACTTACTCCGCCTACTGCTTCTTAAAATTGCTCATTGCTCTCATGCCATTCACAGTTTCCTCATTTATCCTTCTTCTATGATTAGAGGACTCTATGCTGAGTAAAGTAATTTTTTTATAACTTATTACAAGTTACACATTTTTCAAAATTATACTCTTTATAGGTTTATGCTGTTGACCTACATAAGGTTAAATATGCTAAATCATACTGGAATCTGAGCTATGGTACAAAGGCATCAACATCAGCTGGAAGCTTGTTAGAAATGCCAAGCAAGTGTCTTTTGTTGCTCTTTTTTGTTTGTTTTATTTATTTTGTTCCGGGATTGTTTTTCTTGTTTTTGTTTTTGAGATAGGGTCCTGCTCTGGCACAATCATGGCTCACTGTAGTATCAACCTCCTGGGCTCATGTGATCCTCCCACCTCAGCCTCCCAAGTAGCTGGGACCACAGAAATGTACCACTATACCTGGCTACTTTTTTTCTA
Source organism: Homo sapiens (assembly GCF_000001405.40). Taxonomy (NCBI): domain Eukaryota; kingdom Metazoa; phylum Chordata; class Mammalia; order Primates; family Hominidae; genus Homo; species Homo sapiens. The sequence goes on along the minus strand of NC_000002.12, from coordinate 115,302,457 downwards.
TATATTTTGTGTAGAGATGGGGTCTTGCTATGTTGCCTAAGCTTGGGTTTGTTTTTTTACAATTAATTTGTTTATAAAAGAACTCGCAATTATATGAGTTGCAATTCACATTTATCACTCCCCAATAATTACGATTATTGGTGCACACTTGGATATGGTTTGGATTTGTGGCCCTACCAAAATATCATGGTGGAGAAGGGGCCTAGTGGGATCAACTGGAGAAGGGGCCTGGTGGATGACGGGGGGCAGATTTCCCTCTTGCTCTTCTCATGATAGTGAGTGAGTTCTCACAAGACGTGATGGTTTAAAAGCGTGTGGCACTTCCCCCTTCACTCACTCTCTCTCCTGCTCCGCCATGGTAACATGTATTTGCTTCCCCTTTGCCTTCCACCATGATGGTAAGTTTTCTGAGGCCGTCCAGTCATACTTCCTGTTAAGCCTGTGGAACTGGGAGTCAATTAAACTCTTTTCTTCATAAATTACCTAGTGTCAGATAGTTATTTATAGTAATGTCAAAACGAACTCATACACACTCCTAGATGAATTAACAGTAAATTAGAAACAAAATAAGTATGACAGCTATCCTTAATATATTGTGTGGTGTTAGTTTTACACTTTTAGCATCACGATTTAGAGGTCTAAGACAGGACTAAGCAACTGTGATTCTGGACACATTTAGGGTTAAAAACTACAATAAAGCTACTAAAAAAGACAAAATACAAACAAACAGATTTGATATCAGAAAGATGGCAGATTAGAAAGCTCCAGGTCCTCATTCCTCCACAGGATCATCAAGTAAACTACTAGCGACTCACTAAAACAGCTTTTTGGGAGCTCTGGTAACCAGCCAAATTCACTGCTTTCCAACCAAGTGAATGCCCCATCAAGAAAAAGCCACAGTGAAAAAGGTAGGACATTTCACGGCATTATTGCTTGTGCTTGCGCCACCTTGGAACAGTGAGTGCAGTTAAAAAAAAAAAAAAAAAAAAGTAGCCCACTTTCCAGTATTTTTCTCTCAGGAAGGAAGGAGGGCAGTGGAACTTATTTTGCAAAGTTCTGGCCTGTCTGTGGGCTGCCTGAGGGACTGGTTTCTGTCTTGCCTCAATTGGAGCTCTCAGACGAAAATGAATATATAGTTTGAATCTCAGTTTGGAAGCCATGCAAAACTGTGATGGGTAACATAGTTTGTGAAAACTGCAAGAGTATGCTGACATGCAGAAACTGGGGGCAAGATGTTTGTTAAGGCAAGAGTAGTACAGAGGAACAGCCAAGATTTCACGAAGAAGCAGGGGTGAAACTCTTAGGGACGGATAATAAAACATTTCAAAGCAGCCTTCAAAATAAATAAATAAATAAAAGCAGCCCCGTCTATGGGGAAATTGGGAGAGAACACCACACACACAGGCCCAGGGAAGACACAGACCTAGAAAATGCCTGAGAAAATCTTAAACTTTCATACCGGGCTATTTAGAGAACATCTTCCTCCACACAGTCTACAGTGACTGGAAGAAGTGTCTGATTTTTCAGACACCCAATTTTCAACAAAAGATCACAAGGCATATAAAGAAACAGGGAAATCCAGCCCTTTCAAAAGATCAAAATAAATCTCTGGAAACCAACCTTAAAGAAACAAGGCTTCAGATTTACTAGAGAAAGACTTTAAAACAACTGCCTTAAATACACTCTGAGAGCTAAAGAAAAGTAATGACAAACTAAAGAAAATCAAGAAAATGGTACATGAGAAAACTGAGAGTATTTAAAATGACCCCAAAATTGTAGCTGGGAATTCATATTGTGATATATCTAACAAAACAGTAAAACAGGATTATCATTAATAATCAATAGTAATTCCACTTCTGGTTATATACCCAAAACAATTGAAAGCAGTGATGCAAACAGATATTTGTACACCTCTGTTCACAGAAGCATTATTTACAATAGCCAAAAGGTGGAAACAACCCAGATGATCATTGGTAAATGAAAAGAATAACAAAATGTTGTGTGTATGCCTGTGTGTGTATGTATGAGTATTATGCAGCTTTGAAAATGAAGGAAATCCCGACAGTTGCTACAACATAGATGAACTTTAAAAACACTGTGTTAAGGGGAATAAAGCCAGTCACAAACGGACAAATACTGTATCATTCCACTTAAACGACGTGCGTCGAGTAGTCAAATACTTAGAGACAGAAGGCAGAATGGTAGTTGTTAGGGGCTGAAGAGAGGAAAAAATGGGAAGTTATCTTTTTAATGGTTATGCAGTTTCAGTTTGATAAGATGAAAAAAGTTCTAGAGACGGCTGGTGGTGATGGTTGCACAGCAACGCAAATGTACTTAATGTCAATGAACAGTACTATAATAAAAACATATAAAAACAGCATTTATAATAGCAAAACAATATATTAAATGTCTTTAGAAAGTATTATTGCCCAAAGAGGGAAAACCACAAAATGTTATTAGAGAATTTATAGGACCACTTGAAGGATGTAGAGAATCTTCAAATCCCTGTTAAGGAAAATTCAATGTGGTAAAGATGTCCCTTCTTCCTAGATTAATCTGCAAATTTAAAGTAATTCCAGTGAAAATCCAAATAAAACTTTTTTCTTAATTGATAAAGTGATTTTAAAATTTAGATGGAAAAATAATCATATAAAATAATAATTTTGAAAACAATATCTGTGGATATCAGTTATCAAAATGGAATATAAATCTGTGCTAATGAATAATGTGTGGCATGAATAAGAACAGAAAAATACAGAAGCAAAACTATATTTCACGGAAAAATGTTGCATGCACACAAACACATTAGTTCTATTTTATAGATTGAATTTATATATTTCTTATATATGTCTATATAATTTATAGACAGAATTAGTTATATTTTAATCTCTATTTTCCCACAAGACTTTCATTCTGCAAAGAAGGACAATTAGGGTTGAGCAAAACATTCCAATGAGAAATATCGTGATCTCCATGGAGCCAAGTTAGACAGCCAATTCTTCCATCATCTTACAGTATTTCTTATCAGCATTCCAATCCTTTCACTGCTGAAGCCTCCCACGAGAACATTTTCTTGGCTCCTGTGACACCATACTTTCCTGTTTGTTATTTGCCAGCCACTCTTCCAATTTCTCAAAATTGTGGAGTTGCCCAGAACTTGGTGCTGGCCCATATCTTTTCTTTACATGAACACTATTTCTAGTGATATCATTCAATACCACTTTTTATATTATCCATATTTTCTATCAACCTTATATGTTAATGTTAGGAACAGAATACACGGACAAGATATTTTTAAAAAGAGGGATAGAAACTGAAATTGACCTCTAAATAGACACAAAGCTAAGGGTCTTTCTACAGTTACATTATTCAGACAGACAATCTTCTCCCAATATATGTAAAACATCCTCCATACATATCAAAGTCAGTTGCTATTTAGAGTGCCTACTGCTTCTTAAAATTGCCCATGAGATTCATGCCATTTAGTTTCCTACTTTTACTTTTTCCCATTTCTCTGATGAAAGGACTCCATGCTAAGGAGAGTACATATTTTGATCAAGCCTTCATATTTTTCAAAATTGAGTTTCTTAGTAGGTTACTTCTGTCTACCTATTTAGACAATGCCTTAGCTCAGTGCAGTCCATGGACCAGTAGGATCAGCATCATCTGAAAGCTTGTTGAAAATAAAAATTATTCAGCCCCATCACAGCCCTTCTGAATCTCCAGGGCCAGGGAAGTCCTAACAGCCACTTTTAACAGGCTCTCCAGATGGCTCTACTATGTGCTGAAGTCTGGGAAACAGTCCCCAAGGTCAGTGCTACTCAAAATATGGTCAGCTTCACCCCTGAGTTTATATAAATGCAAATTATTCATCCCCAGCTCAGACCTAGTGAGTTCCTGGGGAGGGAAGGACTGAGCAATCTTTGTTGTACCAAGCTCTCCAGATGATTCCTGTGCACACTCAAATTGGAGAACCCCTACCATACAGATTAAGTCCTGGAGTGACACAGTTCTGAAACTGCTAAAATGAACAATCTTACACTCAGAGGAATTTGGTAGATGCATTACGAGTTAGTGGCTTCGGAATCAGTACACCTGCATTTTAATATCTAATTATCTATTTACTAGCTCTGTTACATACACGGTTGATCTAATCCATTTAAGCATAATTATAAGCCTAACTAGTTATGCCTAACACACATGATCAGGCTTATGAATCTTCCTCCATACGTGTTATTTTCCAAATTATGTTTAAGTCTAAATTGAGTTCTACCAGGTCAGAGACTATTTCACACTCATTTCTGTATCCATAACACCTAGTAAAGCACATACTAAGTATTCACAAAATATTTGGACTGAAGCACTAAGCTCAGATTTATTCCTTAAAGTTAGGAATAGAATCTTTAATCTTGAGGGATGCATTTCAGCATTGTGAGGACTGGCGGATAACTAGCTATCTGCATCTCAAACACAGAGAGAAAAGACATCCCAGGAGTACAGTTGTTGACCCATCCTGGGAACTATAAATTGTGGTTGAAAGAGCACTAAAAGAATGTCAGTGATCTACAGACTGGAACAATAGCCCAAAATTTCTGGGATTGATAAGCCTCTACGGATTACTAACAAGGCAGACCATCATCTTTAAGCTTGATTTCAGGGGATGAGCAGGCTGCATATATAATCTTCTGCTACATTCTGCCTAGAACTAAAGTTCTGCCTAAAGTTCTAGGCAAAACATAGCAGAAGGATCATATTTGCAGCCCAATCATCTAGAAGTAGTTTCTAGTTAACAGACTAGACTCTTGTCCACAAGGAGAGTAGAGAACATAGTTACTTCTCATTGCATTTTCAATGCCAAGCTAAGTTCTTGGTGCACCACGCATCCACTTATATTTATTAAACAGATGAATATAACAAACCCAGAAACTATTTTTGGGCTTAGTATAATATTTATTCTTTATCATCTTGAAGTTACTTTTAGAATGTCAAATATTGATTCTCAATAGCTTTTTACACTTAATTTTATATCAAAGTGTGATATAAAACTCTCTTGACAACAGATAATCTATACCTAATGTGGAATATTCATTGTAGAGCGATAGAAAATAGTAAACTTGGCAGCCTGGTCTGCCCACCTGGGCTGCCCATTAATAATTACTTTTATGATTTAAGATAAGGCTTTCATCTTCCTAGGCATAAAACAGGAACAGCAGTGTGTGCCCAGCTTATGCCATGCAGCATTATCTGATGCAGCCAGCATGTCACAAAACCTACCCCCACTCATTTACTTCGTAGATATAATACAGGCTCATGCTGCTCACATAGAAAATGGAGGGGATACTTGCATACAGTATTTACGAGCTTTCCAAGAAATAATGCAAGTGAAAACTATTTATAAACTGTTTCATCTATATCAATTTAAGTTTTATAACCACATCTCACAAAGTTGAAGAATTAAAAAAACTATACATAATCGTTCTTGAGGATTAACTATTATTGAGTCAAGGAAAGTAGTTCCTCTGAAACAGTCAGTTTTAGAACATCTGTAAACTCTTAAAGAACATGCACATTTTTGAAGTCTTAGTATAGAGTCAGCCTATTACTAATGGAGGGAAGAAGGAATGCATGAAAGAAGAAAGGAAGGAAAGTAGGTAAGGAAGGACTCTAGATGAACTTATTGCACCCAGATAAATGAGAATCTATTTGGGAAGATGAATAATGTATTAAACATCAGAAGAACAAAAGAGAAAATTATATTTTTAAAAATACTCAGCACTGTGGTGCAAGATGCTAAATGTGATAGGATTCAGGAAAGAGAGATCCCTGATGATGTTTGTTAGAAACGCTAAAGATCAAATCTATCCTGGCCGTTTCCCAGTTAAATAAGATCCAGGTCAGAAAGAGCTTAGATCTGAAAGGCAGAAGAAAGTCATCCCAGGCTGAGGAAACCCCCATTCCCCTGCTCTCTCTTCAAGATGAACAAGGTGTGTTTAATGTACTTCCTTTTCTAGTGGTTAAAGGTTGTAATTGCCCAGGAGTCAGGTAAGATGCCAAACATAGGTTAAGAAAATAGTAAAAAGCCATTGGCGAAATACGACTGCATGAAAAGAACAAGTGGCACTGCAGCTTCAAGGTAAGTTCAAAGCCAGCATTACTAATTTGCGCCTGGTAACACCACCGACCTTTAGAGGCCGCCGAGCATCTGGGTGAAAATTTGGCAATTCACCTCATCTCCTTATCTTAACCAACTGCACTTCCTTCACCACCACCACCACCTCCCAAGCCAGAAACCTGGGTCTGATCTGGAGTTTCCTCCCTGCCTCCAGAGCAAGTGCCATTTTTCCTAAGGCTCACCAGAGGAAAAGCTGGGGGCCACAAAGACATAAGCTCTTTCAGTAGATAAATATTTTGCTTTCTTAGGCATCAAAGCCAATACTGAAATAGAAACAAACACATTTGATCTAGTTCAAAAGTTTATTTTTCCACACATTTATTTATTATCACTTATTAACTCTGACAAAATCAAATGTAATAAACTTCTTTGAAAATCAAGAATTCTATTCATTGTAAAACATTTTTATTCTGCCTTGAAAATAGAAGGTATAATCACTTTTTATTTTAAGTTTAAAGATTCCTTGAGTGCAGGAGAAAATTTTTCTAATACCTTCTTTACATACAGAAATCTAATATCATAAAGAGGCAGCTACAGCTAAGACATCAATTTTACAACTTTTTCTCCAAAAGAAAAAAAAGCAGAAATTAATGAAATGAGGCAGAACAGGAACTAAATGTGCTTTTAATTATTTTTATTGCTTTTGCCATTAAAAGTGTTAATAAGTACCATATAGGCATTTAAAAAGGAAAGAAAGAACACATTACATTTCCACTGTAGTAATCAATATTCCTATGCTGCTTTTAATTAGAAATATTAAGAATTTGTGTGTGTTTTAACTTCTCAACTACTCTGTGACGGTTATTAGCCATTTCTAACACATATATACTATGCAATTCAGGAAAAAAGAAGTTAAGCAACATTTGGACCTTTTATTTATATCTGCAGAAAAGTAGTATTCTGGCAATTTTTCAAAAATCCCATGGACCAGGAATAATTAAATAAACTCAAGGTAAGTTATACTATATCTGTGCAAGTATGCATTTCACATCATTTGTGCTCTGCTTAAAGGAGGACTTTTCTGGCTGAAATTTTTGTGTGGGTGAGTAAGGCAATTACTCGCCTCAAAGCCAGTCAGTGTTTCCATTCATTACTGAAGACAGCCTTTTCTTCCCCCTAGTCTTTGTGAATAGAGCAGCCAGTATCTGCAGCAGTCCCCAGAATGTCCTGTCAGTACCGTTAGTTAAAAATAAGCCATCCCTCATACAATTTGAAAAGACGTTTGCTCTAAAAGTTCATTTTGCGTGAATCATTCGATTATGGGTAATTTAAATATAAATTAAGAGTTTTCCTTTGTTTTGCTTTTTAAAAATATTTTCATTCTCCCAGAGAATCCTACCAACCTGTAGGTAGAAAAAATCCTACCAACCTGTGTCTGTGTCGGGAGGAGGGGTTGGGGAGGGACAGCCCATCTGCCAGGAAGAGATAACCAACCTCATGCCTCTCCCTCCTGTAAAATCATTGCCACTTTGGCTGCATGAGAAACATCAATTCATTTTGTAGTGATACTTATTAGCATCATAAAAGCATTCTGAGAATTTGGTCAGGCTTAATAGTTGTCTCAAACTAACTGTAGGCTTTGCCTTCATAAACTACATAGGTGTAAGGATTCCATATTGATAGTCACAATTGATAAGGTTAACAATGCAGTCCTAGTCATTTTTCATTTTGTTCTAGTTTTCAAGAGATTTTTGAAGATAAATTTAAGAACTCTTTTTCAAAGAAGAAAAGTCATAATACCATTTTGGAAGTCCCCTTCCCCCCAAAAAGCAAAAAACAAAAGAAAGAGAGAGTACAAAACAATACCAGTACTTCTAGATGTAAATTTACAAAAGCTAATCCAAAAAAAAACAAAAACAAAAAACAAAAATTTACCTACTTGTGTACGTGAGCTGAATCTCATTTCTTTTGCTCAGTGTATCCATAGTGTTAACGAAGCCTGATATGCATTAGAATTTCAATACACATTTGATAAATACATTCATTAATCTCTAAAAGCAGAAGCATATTTCCCTCCTAGGTCAACCTACTAGTTAAATGCATGCCCACCCACACCATGACTGCCTTTCAAACTTCTTCAGAATGATTCAATGAGGCTCCCAAGGCATCCCTCCCTAGTCTGCTCATGGCATTTGGCTTATCCCTCTGGTAGCACTTAACAAACTACATCTGTTTGTCCAGTTTCAAGTGTCTCTTTCACAAGACTAGATCTTTAATCAATAAATATTCATTGAATCAGGTAGGAATGACTGGCAAAGTATATACACTAACAGACTGAGTGGATTCCTTTATAAGAAAGATATTTCTTGTCTTGTTTTTCATGTTAGAAAATCGCTCATTGTTTATCTCCATCTTTTGACTTGGCTGTCAGGGAAGACAATGAGTATCAAAAACAAAGTACTTCTTTATAGCCTTAGTTTGTTTCTTCGGCAAGAGTAGAGATTTACTGATGTCCATGTTGATTCAGGCTGCAGGGATCAAGCATGAATTTTTACAGGATCATGCAGGGTTTATGACTCTAACATAACTTTCCTTTGTCTCTTTCTCCATCATTCTCTTCCATTAAAAAAAAATCATTTCGTAATACCCATACTGCCTGTCTTTCCACTTACAGGGTACATTACTGTAACGAAGCTCTATGTTACTAAATCACACAGTTTCTGAACAGTTAACATAATTTCTTTTATTCTTCCCTTTCCAGAAGCTCACCTACACCACATGATGGTGTAATAGTGAAAAAAAGAAAGCACTGCCTTCTCAGAGTTGAATCATAAGAAAAAGAACTGTTCCCAGACTACAGAGAAAGGCACTGCCTACGTCACGGTTAACTGAATACATCTATAGAAGCTGTGCAACAATTGGAAGGTGTAAATACCATCATTGCCCTCCCAACTCTTGCCCACTCTGATTTCCATGATATGTGAGTCTCTATGAAGAAATGAATGGATAAGGAAACATTCGGTTCATACTACTAAATACCTTAATCATAAAACTGATTTTTTCTTTCCTGATTTCATGTTCACTCACTCAGCAACTTCTGGATGTTCATTTAGCTTTTCTGAAATACCTGCCAACAGGGACAGAAGGGCCTGACCGCACTGACCCGCATCCTGCCAGCTGCAAGGCCATTTTTCTTTTCTTTATCAATTTATCCTTTGGCACTGTGGCTTACTTGCTAGTCTTTGTGCCCTTGGTTAATGTGAATCTGTACCCTAGAGATGGAACCATTTAATGTGCTTATAAACATCAAAGTTTCTGTGCCCCAAACCTGAGTGCCAGGGCTCATACCTTGGTGAATCCATCAAAATAAATGAAATGTTATGAGAAACGTGGGCAGCCAGCCAGTTGGCTTCACTGAGTGATAGCCTGACCTTGGCGTTCACTTGTCTTTCAAACTGCCACAACAGACACATTTCAAGGATTCGGTCACCATCTTCAGAAGGGTATTTAGCAGTAACACATCCTAATATGCCATGGGACAATGCTCAGATCCTCAGTAAAAGTTAAGTGTTTCAATTGGATAGCCATGTGCTTAGTATCACAGGAAATTATTTTTGGTAAACCAATAGCATCATCAATAACAACAACAATAATAATAGGCTATACTTGTGATGTACTGAGAGTATGCTCCCCAGATTTAAACACATACCACATTGGAGGAAACAGCAGCATGGCAAGGATTTGGCAAGCAGCAGAATAAATTCCAAGTCTGTTCACAGATAATCTATTTTACCTGAACATTTGATGTGTGGAAGTGTTCTATCTAATGCATAAGTTAAAATATGGTGTTTTAAGGTAAGCATTGATTCAGTATGGAGACATGAGAAAAGGTTATGTGGCATGTTTTAAAGACAAAAATTTAGATCCCAAGAATATTTCAAAAGTAGTTTTTCTTGAGTTTCTAGGCTTCTCTGGTACTATTTAGCAAGAAAGTTTAAATAATGCTGTTCTAAAATAAAATCAAAAGAGTTTAGACTATGCATTATAAATAAAAATGACTAGGAAAAAACATAATTGGTTTTATATGTAGTTATGTAGCTTTACAAATATATGAAGTCTACTATAAGGATGTTACTGAAGGGATTCATTCCTATGAAGTTTAGGTGAATACTGGCTTAAAGAGCAGTAATTAAAATTAGACTAGTTACCACTGCACATAGTGAAGGACTGGATACATACATGGCATTATCTAAATGGAATAATTTTTTTCCAGAAATATTTTAGAATAAGACCTGCTGTTGCCTGTATTGGATATTTTAAGAAAGTTCTATTAGAACACAAATGTTTGACCTGAATGAATGCTTAAAATACTTTCCAGTTCTGGGTTTCTCTGATTATGTAAACTTATGGGAAAGGCAATCAATTTTCCTAGGTTTAAGCTTGGGAAAACATAGTCTAAACCATGTAATAGATTTTTAGGGAGCACGTGGTGGCACAGTGCTATGGATCTGTGACATCCAGCAGCCACCCGAGCCTTGGTATTGATGAATGTGTTCAAAAGTAATGAGTCTACAATAAGGATCTGGTCAGTGACCATTCCATCGTCACAAAAGATCAGTTCTGAAAAGCTCATGGATATATAATTCCCAAAAGTTTCCCAGTGGTAGTTATTTCATTCTTAGTGATAAATGGGCTTAGGCATCAACACATCCATCATTCAAATAAAGGTAGTGATGAAAAAAATGTGTAAATAAATTAAATATTGATACACTGGGCATATAAATTGTTTCTGAAGACATGTATTGTGATATGAGTATCTAGCAGAACTGTGCTTCATTCAATATTTAAAGATGAAAGACAAAACACACCATTAATTTACCAGCTATTGGAAATTTGTGGTGGGGAAAATTCAATATGTTATGTTGGTTAGTAAAGCTTAAAGTTAGAATTTTTATGTCTTCAAATTTAATAATGTTCTATTAATGACCTTGAGTATTTAGTCCGGGAAACAGGGAAGAAGTGGTATGTTAGAATGAAGCAGAGGTGGGATGCCATGGCTCACACCAGTAATCTGAGCACTTTGGGAGGTCAAGGCAGGAGAATTGCTTGAGCACAGGAGCTCAAGATCAGCCTGGGAAACACAGGGAGATCTCTGTCTCTACAAAAAATAAAAAATTGGCCAGGCATGGCGGCACATACCTGTAATCCCAGCTACCCTGGAGGCTTAGATGAAAGAAGCTCTTGAGTCTAGGAGGTCGAGGCTGCAGTGAGCTGTGATCACACTATTGCACTCCAGCCTGGGCAACAGAGCGAGACCCTGCCTCAGAAAAATAATAAACTCAGGGACAAAGCCTGATTCCTGTGGTCCCATGACAAACTCTAGCCCATTCTTTGTATGTAAGAGGTAGAAAGATGAGTAGATTAGCAGGGATTACCTTGCCTCAGAGACTGTCAAAATGATTTGCCTTATCTCTGTTTTAAGATAAGACAGAAATATTCTTTGTTGGCCAAATAGAAGAATGTCCTTCATAAGCAATGCTAGAGTGTTAGAGAAGTCAGAGACAATCTTGTTGCAAGTGCATGATTATTGATGCACCATGATTTACAGGGAAAATGAAATGCTTTTCCCCAAAATATATGGTGCATCACCTTAGAGACATGCTAACAAATCCCGTGTCAGCAATACTTTGGGATTAAGACAATCATCTCCACTTAAAGTTTATTTTCAATTTTTCAGCTAGTATTACCTGAATAGGCATTAAGAATTTTCTCACCTTGTCTCAGGTAGCTTTCCTTTTTTAAAGAACATTTCATTATGAAAATGTTCAAATATAAAGGAAAGTTGAGAGAAGTGCACAGTGAACAGCCATGTTCCTAGTGTTAGATTCTAGAATCAATATTTTGTTATATTTGCTTAATCACATATCCACCTGCCTATTTATCCACATATGTATACCTCTATCATCCATTAATCCACCCGTCAATTAATCCATCTTAATTTTGGACACATTTCAAGGTAACTTGAACATTGAAAGCTAACTTATAATTTTGGATGCATTTCAAGACCTCAGTACACTTCACTCCTAAACACCAAGAGGTATAACATTTACTAGATTTCACTCTTTTGTTATAATTTTAAAAATACAATTTACATATCACTTGCCTGCTTTTAATAAAATTATTTGGCCTCTTTTCCTTGTTTATTTGTTTGAATTCCTTGTAGATTCTAGATATTAGTCCTTTGTTGGATGTATAGTTTGCAAACGTTTTCTCCCATTCTGTAGGTTGTCTGTTTACTCTTTTGATTATTTCTTTTGCTGTGCAGAAGTTTTTTAGTTAATTAGGTCCCATTTACTTATGTTTATTTTTGTTGCATTTGCTTTTGGGGTCTCAGGCATAAATTCTTTGCCTAGGCCAATGTCCAGAAAAGTTTCTCCTAGGTTTTATTCTAGAATTTGTAAGGTTTCAGGTCTTAGGTTTACGTCTTTAATCCATCTTGGGTTAATGTGAATATGGTGAGAGATAGGGATCTAGTTTTGTTCTTCCACCTGTGGCTATCCAGTGTTCCCAGAACCAAGTATTGAATAGGGTGTCCTTTCCCCAGTGGATATTTTTGTCTGCTTTGTTGAAAATTAATTGGTTGTAAGTATCTGGCTTTATGTCTGGGTTCTCTATTCTGCTTCATTGGTCTTCGTGTCTACTTTTATACCAGTACTATGCTATTTTGGTTACTATAGTCTGGTAGTACAATTGGAAATGAGTTAATGTGATGCCTCCAGCTTTGCTCTTTTTCTTGGAATTGCTTTGGCTATTTAGGCTCTTTTTTCTTTTCTTTTCTTCCTTTTTTTTTTTTTTTTTTTGGTTTCTTATGAATTTTAGGCTTGTTTTTTCTAATTCTGTGAAAAATGGCATTGGCATTTTGATAAGAATCACACTGAATCTTTGTCCAAAGTAGATTGCTTTGGACAGTATGGCCATTTTCACAATATTGATTCTTCCAATGCATGAGCATGGGATGCTTTTCCCATTGTTTGTGTTGTCTGTTTGTCCATTTGTTTGTGTCAGCTTTCATCAGCGTTTTGTAGTTTTCCTTGTGGAGATCATTCACCTCCTTAGTTAAGCATATTCCTAGGTATTTCATTTTTTTCCAGTTATTATAAAAGCGGTTGAGTTCTTGATTTTATTCTCAGTTTGGTCATTGTATCATAGCAGCGCTACTGATTTCTTCACATAGATTTTGTAACCCGAGCCTTTACTGAATTCACTGATCAAATCCGGGAGTGTTTTGGGGGAATCTTTAGGGTTTTCTGGGTACAAGATCATATCACTGGCAAACAGAGATAGTTTAATTTCCTCTTTTCCAATATGGATGTCCTTTATTTCCTTCTCTTGCATGATTGCTCTGTCTAGGACTTCCAGTACTGTGTTGAATAGAAGTAGGGAAAGAGAGCATCCTTGTCTTAGTCCAGTTCTTAAGAGGAATGCTTTCAACTTTTCCCCATTCAGTATTATATTGGCTGTGCCTTTGTCATATGTGGTTTTTATTACTTTGAGGTATGTTTCTTCTATACCTAGTTGGTTGACGGTTGTTTGTTTCTTTTCTTTCTTTTCTTTTCTTTTTGTTTTGAGGCAGTCTTGCTTTGTCACTAAGGATGGAGTGCAGTGGCATGATCTCAGCTCACTGCAACCTCGTTTCCTGGGTCCAAGCAATTCTCCTACCTCAGCCTCCCGAGTAGCTGGGATTACAGGCTCCCCCCCAACCAGGCCTGGCTAATTTTTATATTTTTTTAAATAGAGATAGCGTTTCACTATGTTGGCCAGGCTAGTCTCAAACTCCTGACCTCAAGTGATCCACCCACGCTGGCCTCCCAAAGTGCTGGGATTACAGGTGTGAGCCACCACGCCTGACCAGGTTGAGGGTTTTTATCATAAAGAGATGTTGGATTTTATTGAATTTTATTGAATAGACTCAGAAGAGTCTATTGAGATAATCATATGAACAGATATTTCTCAAAAGAAGTTATACAAATGGCCAAGAAACACAGAAAAAAAATGTTCAACATCACTAATCATCAGGGAAATGCAAATTAAAACCACAACAAGATACCACCTTACTCCAGCCAGAATGGTCATTATGAAAAAAAAAATTTAAATTAAAAAACAGTAAATGTTGGTGCAGATGTCGTAGAAAGGGAACACTTACCTACTGCTGGTGGAAATATAAGTTAGTGAAACATCTATAGAAAACAGTATGGAGATTTCTCAAAGAACTAAAAGTAGAACTACCATTTGATCCAGCAATCTCACTACCAAATATCTACCCAAAGGAAAAATAGTCATTATACCAAAAAGACACTTGCACGTGTATTTTTATCACAGCCTAATTCACAATTGCAAAGATATAGAACCAATCCAAGTGCCTATCAATAGATAAGTGGATAAATAAAATGGAAATACCATTTCCTTATCATTCCATGGAAAGGAATAGTCTATGATTTCTTTCATCAGTGTTTTGTAGTTCTTCTTGTAGAGATCCCTCACCTCCTTGGTCAAGTATGTCCCTAGGTATTTTAGTTTATTTTTGTAGCGATTGTAAAAGGGATTGAGTTCTTTGATTATCAGCTTGGTCATTGTTGGTGCACAGCAATGCTACTGATTTGGGTACTGACAAATGAGTCCACGGAAACATTATGGAAAACTACTCAGCCATAAAAATGAGTGGAATAATGTCTTTTGCCGCAACTTGAGTAGAACTGGAGGCCATTATCCTAAGTGAAGTAACTCAAGAATGGAAAACCAATACTGCACATTCTCACTTATAAATGGGAGCTAAGCTATGGGTACACAAAGGCAGACATAGTAGTATAATGAACATTAGAGACTCAGAGGAAAGAAGTTCAGGAGGGAGGTGAGGGATGAAAAATTACCTATTGAATACAATGTTCACTATTTTGGTGTTGGGCACACTAAAAGCCAAAACTTGACCACTGTACGATCATCCACATAACCCAGCACGACTTGTACCCCTCAAGCTACTGAAATTTTAAAAAATTAATTAAAAATAAAATAAAACTGACAGAGTAAAATGCACATATCTCAAATGACTCGACTATTACTTTTCACTTGCCTCAATATTTGTCTCTTTCAAATTTCAGCAAAAGCCTCCACTGCTTCCCTAACTTTTAGTACACTGAAAGGAATTCTCCATTGTTATCTTTATCATTTCCTTAATAATCTCAAGAATGTTAACTCTACAGTCATACATTTTCTGCCTTTCCCTAGTGAAGCAATCCAATTATTCAACTCTTATCAATTATTCTAGATCATAAATGTACACCTTTTGAATATTTCAGTACATTCTTGAATATTTGGCCAGCTTTCACAGAGAGATCTTTGTACCTAGAATCAGGAAACTTAAATATTATAAGCTGCCATGGCACAACTGTTTTGTAGTATATCAGTGTCATGTGACAAGGAAATTCCTTTTCAAGGATTTGTCTATTATAATTATTTTGCTATCAAAAGCACATCTAAATTAGACACTTTCTCAGTGATCATGTTCTTTTTTAATGGGGAGTCCAGACAACAGTGGAAGGATTCAAACTAATGAGCAATTTCAATAAGGAAAGATATAACAATAAAATTTTCTTCCTTGTCTATCATCTCACCTCCAAAACTTTTAATCCACACCCTTACCTCCTTCCTCGACACACACCCCACAATCTCATTCTCAAACACTATCCCAGTTGCCATTGGTAAGAATGCTTCAATACTGGTTTGATTCTCAGCCTTCTGTATATATTTTATATATATATATATTATATATATATATTATATATGTAATATATATATATTATATATATATTACATATATATATTTCACTTTAAACTCTGGAGTCTACCTGACAAAGGAAGATAAATCATATTTTAAAATTCCAAAGTAAAAAAAAAGATGTGGCTCTACATGTATATCTTAAAACGAAGCTTAGTTAAATGCTTTTAAATCTTCATTTACAAATAACATCAGTTTTTCCCAGCATTCTAGCAAGGATTAAATCCAGTTTTTCTTATCTTGAAGCCAAAATATTAGCACAAAAACTGCATCAGCCAAAATATCTCCAAATGTTATTAAAAACCATTGCTGTGTAAACTTTAATGATGTTTGCATACCAGTATTAGGATGCATAATAACTCTTTCTTAGAGTAAGAGTATTTTATTATAAAAATAAAACACTGAGTCTGTTTCCTCCTGCAGTAATGAAAAAGAGTAAATACAAATAAATAAAGTAGAGCAAAGACCATGATTTAAAACTGAACACTTTATTTATTAGAGCTAATGCAGAACTTTCCCTACATAATATATAGAAACCTAACTACAGCATGCATAAAAATTAACATAAATATCTTATCCTGTAGCGGGAAAGAGGCATTGAAGAAACAACAGATAGAGAAAATGCTTCATTAACTACAATCTATCATTACTTTCTTCCCACTAATATGTTAATCACAAATTGCAAATGTGACTATAGGGCAAAAGAAGCAGCTCTAATGTAATTAAACTTGAAAACCACAACCCAATTGTTCTTGGGTTTTATCTGCAGCAATTATAGCCCTAGGTACAAGAATCTGAGACAACAGAGACCAAGGCCTTCTCTTTTTCCATTCTTAGCAAAAAGAGAAAGCCAGAAAGGAGGACTGAACAATTTAACAACGTTCTTTGCTTGCTGAGATCAATCGATCTTTAATCCACCAAGTGTGGTACTGCTTACATGCTTGAAATGAAAAGCATTTCATCTAACAATGGGTTGCCTTTTCTCTCATTGGAGTTCTATGCAGAAAGGTCACCGGTGTAACTTGCACACATTCCAAGGTGTTAATATACACTGAAAGGAACTTTTAAAATAAATCAACATGTAGAGATAATGATCCATCCCAGTATACTCTGTCTTTTCTTCCCTATTTTACGTTCATTATTACCGGCCTTTGGATATGTGGTGAGCTGCATATCAGCTTCCAATATTACAGGCAATGCATCTTTAAGCTTATGAAATAGCAAGTGTTAATTCGCTATTTTAAAGATAACAAAGCACAATAAAAGCTGCCTAGGTAATGTGAGAAAGAGAGGGAGTAGCAGTTCAGGGCATGTATGTCACTGTAGAGAGACGTAGGTCCTGGGCCTGCTCTAACTTTTACCTAAATTTATCACTAAATTCCTGAAGTCTTAGCTTTCTCATTCACAGAATTCCTAAGAATACCAACTTCAGAGTGTTGTGGGGCCTAAAATAGATAATGAGCTTTCAGCCCTTAACAAAGAGCTGGACATTATATGAACGTGCAATGAATGCTAGTTAGCTATTATGACAATTAGCTACACATCCATATCTTAGATGCTAAAACACAGTGGGTAAGAAACATCATTAAGAAGCTGATAATTTGATATGATTACAGAAATAATTGTAATTTTGAAGAATGATAAGTTCTAAGGGAAAGAAGAATAAGGGCCAATAATCCAGAGGATAAAGTAGAAATTCATCTGACAAGGACTGAAAACACATCCCTTTATCCCATTGATTAACCATCAGTCTAATTCCAACCTCTTCTGCATGGTATCCTAGATACATAGGTGTATAACCCACATGTTTTAACTCCCATGTTTTCCCCTCACTGCACCCAATTCAGTAGCATCTCTCTTCCATAGCAACATTCTAACATAGCTACCTCCTAACAACAGCAATAAGAATATATTTACTTTTTTCTACCCCACTGAGCCAAAAGCTAGTCTTGTCCTGTTCTAACATAACTTGTTAACATATCTATTCATTACAGATAATATTTTGTGCAGTTAATTAAAAGTGCAGGAAAAATTGCTTGATGCTTAAAAGTTTGACAAGTTAGAATATGAAGTCATGTTTTGACTTACTGAAGCTACCCAGAGATTATAAGCAAAAAATTACTAGGGCTTTTGAAAGATAATGCATTATTTATAAGTGGATGAGCCCTTTCTGTTGAACTGGTTTAACAGAAACATGACAAGGTTAAACAAATCAGAATGTTATGGAGAAGAGTAATATTAAAGAAGTAATTTGCATTTTGTCAACAAAAGCGAATAGGGTATATCACTAACAGGCAAGATTTCATAAAACTACACTGTGTTTTTTTCAGTAAACTAATGTGAATTCTCCTTTCTGCCAATTACTTACTTAGAATCACATAAGAGTTTGATATTATGGAGAAAATTGATAGCTAATTTGTTTGTAACTGGGAAATGATCACAACCCAGTATCATATGTATAGTTATATATTGCTGAAGGACCGGGATACACTCTGAGAAGTCCATCGTTAGGCTATGTTGTCATTGTGCAAACATCATAGAGTACACTTACACAAATCTAGATGGTATAGCATATTACACACCTGAGCCATACAGTCTAGCCTATTGCTCCTAGACCACAAATCTGTGAATGTTACTGTACTAAATACTACAGGCAGTTGTAACACTTGGTAAGTACTTTTGTACCTAAATGTAAAAAGGTACAGTAAAAGTATGGTAATAAAATCTCATTGAACCACTGTCATATATGTAGTCCATCACTGACCGAAACACTGTTACGTGGTACATGACTACATACATACTCAGGGAACCACATTTTTAAAGATTGCCAGAATGATTGGAAAATAATGTTCGTTATTTGACCTCTCCCCTACCTGGTAATAATACCTTTCAGACTGAATTAAAAACTGAACTAAGAGTAAAATCCTAGTTAAAATAAACTCCAATAACCAAAACCAGTAATAAAATGTTATTATATACTTCACATCTGAGATAAGCAATAGTTATCAAGAATGGCTGCTTATTTGAGCATTCAAGAAAAACCATCAACCAATATAAAACAATAAATAATCAACATAGTAAAAATAATTAGTATGAGAAGAATTAGCCAATGTAAATCTTGAGTAGACATCATTTCCCAAGTGCTAGAATTTCAACAAAGTTGTGCATAGAAAAACACAATGCTCTATATCACAAAGTTTTTCATGGATTAATTCTAACCTGATTACAAATTCAGGTTTAAGCTGTTAAGGTGGTAATATTTTTATTATATACTTCTAAAAATATTATTTATAATACCGTAATTGAGTGATATGCATCAGCTCTGGGCAGCCCTAAGACACAGGAAGCCCCGCTGTCTTTGCACTTGGGAAATAGGCCAGGATGAGAAATAAGATTTGAATAGAAAAGAGTGAGCTAGTAACAGGTCTGAAAGAAAAAAACATGGCCAGATTAGAAAATCTAATCCAAGAATGATACATAAATGGAATTCAGTATAAATTAGGAAATATTCAAGGCTAGATTCTAAATATACATAGAAGTTTGATCTTGAAACTAATTTGGACTTTTTTTAAAAAAAGCAAACAGTCAGTAAAAGGGACAAAAACAGTGCTTATTTTTAAAGATTGAGCTAAGATATTGCTATTCAAACCGGAAATTAAGGCACAAAATGGGAAAGGTATTTTGTCAGTGAGACTGAAACAAAATAAAACAAAAATGTTAAAATCCGAGGATGCTATTGGTTAGAAACAATAACTTCAAAGTAGATACTGTCTTCTATTTCCAAACAAAGGCTACCAGGCCTCTTCTTTGACATTTAACTAGGCTCTGGCACATTTTAAGTAAAGTTTGATGGTGTGAGAAACTATAGTTACAGATGAGGGTTAGTTCCCAGTTAAGATCCTCTGAGGAGCAAAACTGCTTGGCTGTAAACACCAAATGAAATAATTAGTATTGTGAAAGGCCCTATTCTATCAGTTTCTATAGGTAAGACATTATAAGTATAAAATGTAAGAAGTATATCTCTACTGGAAGTGAGATGAAGGGGGATAAAAGATTTGATGGGTTTTTAATTCTATTTTCAGAAAACCAGGGGCAAATACCACACATTTTCCAAAACTAATCAAATTTTATATGTAAAATTGGTGAATTTTATTGTATGTAAATTGTACCCCAATACAGATAACCAAAATCATGAAAATTAGTTTGGAAGTCTAAAAATTGTAATAGTTAATTATAAAATTCATACATGTAGAAAGACAAAAATACTAAAAGTGAGACATAACTATTATGTAATATTATCTAATATTGTTCATTTTCTTAAATTCTGTTATTTAAAGAATAAGTTACAAGTTGTTGGGATATATATCACTTTTAAAAATAAACACTAAAGTTATTCAGTTGATTGCTTGTTTCTACGTACTTCTTAGCGTGAGAAAAAGTACAAAACTAGATGTCATTTTTCTCAAGTAAACCACTTCCCCACTCCTACCTTAAAGTAATGAATATACTCCAATTGCATTTTACAAATGTAATAATAATAACAACAACAGTAATTTTTAAGTACATATGTAAAAATTAATACTAAAACTAAAGATTATTCTTGGGTCACTATTTTAAAATTTCTAAAATTTCTCAGTATTTTTAAATATTTTATTATAAATACACCTTACTTTTAAAATCATAAAGCACAGCAATAGTTTTCTGCACGTAACTTTATAATGTTTTAAGATATCCAGTGGTTTCTGCAGTGGAATATTGATCATGTATATTTATATCCTATGGCTCTTACTGTGTGGATTAAAACATTCATTCAACTAATATTTGTTGCATATATTTTCTTGCTGGGCACTGATAGAGATGAATATTATTAAAACAATATCAATAGCAATGAGAACAACAAAAGTTGTGAGAAGTTACGAATTTTTCAAAAATGAGAAGTTATGTTTACTCCTACGGGCATATTCTAATTCTGGTGAGCTCATGCGATTTCACCAAGCGATATAGCCATTACTGGGTCCTCCATTTCAAACCAGCATCAGTCATGCACCTGGCATCTATTACCAAATGAGCTCCACTGAGGAAGAAGCAACCTTTTCTGTGAAGCTTTCATGTCTGTGGTGTCTGAAATACAACTGAAACACAATTACTCTACGGGAATTCTGCCTTACTTCTAGCTAGTAGAAATAGTGGGTGCACAGGGAGAATAAGTCTTCGGAACACAGATCAGCAAGCACAGAGGCTTACTTTTGTTTTTGAAATGAAAAGCCGAAGTTTTACCAAGTTCTGAAATAAAATCAAGAGTTGCCTCATTAAGGTACCTATTTCTAGCTTCTATTGAAATAAAGTAAGAACTCCACTTTATCCTAGAGTGAACAGTGGGAGAGAAACTGAAATTTGGAGATGTAATAGAAATCTGTTTAGAAGCAATCAGACAAAAAGAAAAATAAAATCTCTTGTGTATGGTCTAGGTGACCAAAAAGGCAACATAAAAATGGAAAAGACAGTACTGTTTATGAGGATTGGATTCCAGTTTCATCTCCATACCATTAACCTTTTCACTTTTTAAGTGGAAAGCACAGCTATTTCAATGATAGCTTTTGTGGAAGATAGGATAGAATTCTCAAGTTTAAGTGACTATGGAAGAAATCAGATCTGAACAAAGATATGAAGTTATCCATAGAAACGAATTTAGGATAATCAAAACATTCCCTCATATGACCCTTCTTAGGTAACTGAGAATAAAATAACTAGCAATACTCTCAAAAATTCAGGAAGCAGAATAGCTTGTAATAGATCACACTGAATGGGAAAAATTGAGTTTTTCAAACCTTGCAGCAAAGGCTAATGCCCCAAGGTTAACTCAAGAAATCTTCAACAGAGATAATTTCTCAACATGTGTGAAAAATATAACAACACATATGACATCTTGCTTTTTAGCAAACTATTTTCCCACTGCAAACTATTGGATGACTATGAGTATCTATCTGCTTAACATGATATTGCTTATGTGTGAGAAGTCATCAGTGGTGAACACTGAGCTATAGGACTGATATTTACTTATTGTTTATAGACTATGTCTCAGGACTTATAATTCCGGAGTGCAGCTTTGGGCCTCAAGAAGTCACAGTTCTCCTGGGAAAAGCTTGCATTACTCAGCCTCATATTCAAGGCTTCCAATATATTCATTTTTTAAATAGATAAACTGGCTTTCTGCATTGTTACTGACATTTTTACCTACATGCCTAAAAGTAGAAGACATAGATCTTAAGACTTTGTCCATACCTTTGCAAAACAGTAATAAAATGTCCATCACTCACTAGTATGACTAAGATTATAAATGTCTACCTCCATACAAGCCTGTTGATCCAAAAAACATGTCTTTCAACCTATTATTTTTGCCTCAAAAATCACAAGTCCAAATTCAGAATCTTGTTAACTATTTACCCTTCTACAGTTTATTTAATCAGCATTTACTGAGAACTATTAAGAGAAGCAACCTTCTCCCACTGGGCATAACAGTGTAGGAAAGAAAAAAGTGAGTATCATAAGAAAGCTTAAAGTGTCAATATTCTAGAAAAATGCTACCCAATTTGGGAGGCCAAAGTGGGTGGATCACCTGAGATCAGGAGTTCAAGACCAGCCTGGTCAACATGGTGAAACCCTGTCGCTACTAAAAATAGAAAAATTAGCTGGGCGTGGTGCCCTGCATCTATAATTCCAGCTACTTGGGAGGCTGAGACATAAGAATCGCTTAAAGCAAGGAGGCAGAAGTTGCAGTGAGCCAAGATTGCACCACTGCACTCCAGCCTGGGCGACAGAAATCCTGTCTCCAAAAAAAAAAAAAAAAAAAAAAAAAAAGAAGAAGAAAAAAAGAAAGAAAGAAAGAAAAAAGATAAAAGAAAAAAAAGAAAAATGCTACCCAAAATTCTGGTGTCTGATGACAAGATTCTATCAAACGCAAATCAACACGGTGATTTTTTTTAATTGAGAAAATCTTTCTTACAAAAGAAAATGTCAACTGAACTGCATTCTGGAGCCAGCTTCTTATTGGGTAGAGACCAATAACAAGCAGTTCATGGACCTGCCCCAATTCATGCTAGGCATTTTGAGTGGTAACATTTTAAGCCAAACTCTCTTCATTTCCTCCTCCTCCTGTTTTTCTCATTGACACTCTCCCTGTCCATTCCACATAGTAAAATGTTGTTTTCTAAAATTTGAAAATGTTAAGGTCCACAGAGATTCTCTTCATGGTGTTCCCTTGTGTCTATTTCAAATTCATACATGAGAGACTGCATCAGCCTCCCATGGTTTTAATGTCCATTTCTGGTCAAATCAATGATGTCCATGAGCCAGTCATGTAAGAATGGCTTCTGAGTTTACATGCTTCCTAAAGGCATATCAGCTGTTAATTTTGGTGAAGTCTAACTTGAATTTTTCTCTTTCATTGCTTGCGCTTTTGGTGTCAAATCTAATAAATCATAACCTAATCAAAGATAACACAAGTTTACACCTGTCTTCTCTTTGAAAGGTCTCATAGTTTCATTATGGTGATGGCAGCACAACTCTAAAAAAGCTAAAAGACATTGAATTTTATGCTTGAACTATTATATATGGCAGGTAAAGCTAAAGCTTTAAAAAACAAAAAAAGGCTTCTGCTATAGTTTGGATGTTTGTCTCCTCCAACTTCAAGTTGAAATTTGACCCCAATATTGGAGGTGGGGCCTAGTGGGAGGTGTTTTGGTCATGGGGACGGATTCCTTATGAATAGCTTAATGTCCTCCCTTGGGGCAACTGAATTCTCACCCTACTAGTTCCCAGGGAAGTGTTTGTTAAAAATAGCCTGGCATATCACCCACCTGCCCCCATGTGTTTCCTCTCTCCCCATGTGATCTCTGCATAGTCAGCTCCCCTTTGCCTTCCACCATAAGTAGAAGCAGCCTGAGGCCCTCACCAGAAGCCAAGCAGATGTTGGCACCGTGCTTCTTGTACAGTCTGCAGGACCATGAGCACCAAAACCTTTCTTCATAAATTACTCAGCCTCATGTATGCCTTTATAGCAACACAAAATGGACAAAGCTTTTGAGCAGTCAGATTCAAAAAGGCACCTGTAACAACGGATCTAAAAGGCAAATTACTGGTGAAATCAGTAACTATTCCAGAAATGAAGGAAGAGCTCAACCTCTAGAAAAAGCACAGAAGGACAGTGGGACAGCTTTACATCAAAGGTAGTGAGTAGACTGTAAGTTTGTGTAGCAAGAAATAAATCATGATATTGAGATATATGGAATACTTACTATGCATATGCATGATTGCACTGAACCCTCACAACCATCTTTCTACCAAGGAAACACATTATTTCCTCATGGACACACAGGGAAATGAGCCTTAGAAAGAAAAACTGACATGCCCGAATAGCGTAAGTAGAAATGCCTGAGCCAGGACTGGAATCCATGCCTATCTGTCTCCCAAACTATGGCCTTAACTACCTTATCAAACTGCACAGCACTGAAACACCCATTTGTAAGTGTGAATCAGGGATACTAATTGAGGCCTTTCCACATTTTCTGGCTGCAAAGTCAACATCATCTTGCATGTCTGCCAATTCTAATTTTTTTCAGATGTTAACAGTAGAAGTTAGATAACAAATTTAAAATGTTACTTGGATATAATTTATTAAAGTTTAAAAGTCTGTGTTTCAAAATGATCACAAACATTATACTTAATATTTTACATATGTGATATATTTCAAGATATAATAAAATCTTTAATTTATTTAGAAAGAAATACTGTCATAAACTGCTCTCTACTTACGCAATATTTTCATTAAGTTTCTACTTCTGAAGAGAAAAACATGAAGAAACCAATAAAGTATAGATGTATAACTAGAATGTCCTTTACTACAAAGGTAATTATTCTTTCATATGTATTCAAGGAGAGGTAACAACTGAAGCACTCAAATGACATTGTTATAAAACATTTTCTTCTGTAACATAATGTCATGTAAGGAGTACAATGGAAGTACTATTGACTACAGTAAAAAAAAAAAAAAAAAAAAAAAAAAAAAAAGGCCCTGGCAGGACTTAAGTATAATTATTCTCTAAGATCCCTAGAGTAATCTCCAAAAGTACCTTGTGCTAAAAGATAGTGTAGTCTTCCAGACTGACAGTCTTAAAGTCTGGAAATTTTATAAGGTTATTCATTGCCATTGCACTTGACTGCCTGCCTAGTTTGCAGCGTTTTCTGGACTTTCTGAAATGGTAAGTCAGGCACACCAGTATTTTCTTTTGGGAGGGAACTGAGAATGCATTGCTTATTTCAGTTTACAGTGCTTGTTTATCCCACTTCTGAGAAAGGAAAACAATGGAAATGTTATTTCTTTAATAATGTACATCTTGATTTTTCTTAATATCTAAGTTATAAGTATTATAAAAGCTATGCATATTTATAAGATTCAGACTTTTTAATGGACCTGAAATTGAGAAAATTTCATTTTAGAACCTCTTTTGGACAAATAAAGCAGAAATATCAACTTTTATAATTTGAAACTAAATTTTGTTGGAATTTATTTTTATGCTGAAGTATCTTCTGGATCAACCTAGACACAAAGGGGCATAGGTCAATAGCAGGAGTTCTTAGCCAAAAGCTTTATGAAAATTTTCCTATTAGTGCAATCCTTGGAGTAGAGAGCAGTGAATCAGAAATAGTATTAGTACCTACTTAATAAAGAAGGTAAAAAGGAATATGATAAATGTGTCTCTAAAAAAAGATGATCTTGCCAAAATCTCTCATACTTGCCTTTACAGTGCCACCAATAAAGATGATTGTATCTCATTGGATATCTTACAAAATTCTCAGAGTAATCTGTCTAAATGGGGGCTGTACCTCAGAGCATCAAGAAATAAATGGCATCATTAAGTTCCCCTGGAGTAATGTCACCTTTCTCACTAATGTGCCAGGTCCTGTGACAGTCTTCTCTTGGACACTCAACCTAGCCCTGTTCTTGCTCTAGGATGAGTGGTTTTAGGTTTTTCGAAATAGCTCACATTTAGAAAAAATATATATTTGCTTGCAGAATTAGAAACCCATCTCCTTTTTTTAAGATAAAAATGCAGGGAAAATTAGCCCATATAATGTGTTTTCTGCTTGTCAGAAAAGAGAGTATATTCTGGCCTTTGATTCTCTACAGGCTATTTACAAATTATCCTTTTGACTGATACAAGTGACAGGATTCATCAGCAACCTTAGTGAACTCTCAATGTCTTTAAAGGCGATTGTCCCAAATTTGAATTGCCCGGGTTCTGTGTATCTTTATACTCCCCTCTCTAATTGGCAACCTGCCATTCGAGTGTTTTCTAATTATTAACAACTATACCTACAGCCAAGAGCAAAGTAGAACTATAATTGTTCTCTCCACATATCCATCCGGAAAAAGAAAGGGTGGGCATGTAATTCACTTCTGGGTGAAATTTAAGAAAGATGTTTCTGCCACCAAGAGTTGAAATATGCTAGAATAGGCCGGGCGCGGTGGCTCACGCCCGTAATCCCAGCACTTTGGGAGGCCGAGGCGGGCGGATCACGAGGTCAGGAGATAGAGACCATCCTGGCTAACACGGTGAAACCCCGTCTCCACCAAAAAATACAAAAAAATTAGCCGGGCGTGGTGGCAGGTGCCTGTAGTCCCAGCTACTCGGGAGGCTGAGGCAGGAGAATGGTGTGAACCCGGGAGGCAGAGCTTGCAGTGAGCCGAGATCAGGCCACTGCGCCCCAGCCTGGGCGACAGAGCGAGACTCCGTCTCAAAAAAAAAAAAAAAAGAAAAGAAAAGAAATTTACTAGAATAAAATGAAAACTGAAGAATTGTTCCCATGGCTTAGGTTTAAAAAGAAACTTTTCTATATAATTTTTATATAATATCCAAAAAAAGAAGAAAGGCTTGCCTTTGCGGCTAACGTGACTTATATAGTAACTGTTTCTCTTAGTATGTGAACTTGGAAAAGTCCCTTAAACTCTTTAAACCTCAGTTTTGTCATATATGAAATATTACTAATGATACTACCCCTCAAAGATTTTTGCAACGTGCATATGAGATTATGCACCCTAATCATGTGCTGAATGCATAGTACTTACTAATATACATCGATAGATTCGTTATGTAAATATTTATTTGAGTATGTGCATGTGTTATATATATAGATGGATGGCTAGCTAGAGAGAGATAAAGAGATAGAGAGAGACTATTATTTAATCAGGGAACTCAATATAGACAATGGCATGGTTTATCCAAGAGTACTTCTCAAAGGCACAAAGCAATTTCACGTCTTCAGTACAGGTCAACCTGTAGTTTTTGAATGTCCATTTTGTGAAATGCCCTGCATGAAATGCTTTCAATTATAGGTGGCTGTTAAAATTCATTCCAGAAAGCCGAGAAACAACTTCTATATATGCTTCTCCTAAAGCTGGTTTAAATCATTGACCTTTCCTCTCTGGTTCATAACACCTTGTCAAGATGCCATGGACTATTTCTAATATAAAAGAAAACAAAATAGGATTCTATTCTGTGAATAGAACCCTGTGCGAGGTGCTGAACACAAGTGATCTTACAGAAGAATGTTAAAGTCAGAAACCACACTATGCTAGTTCTACACATAATATTACGCTTAACGAGAGGAAAGACAAGAAAGAAAGATGCTACAACTGTTAATTAGCAGCCAATTATGTGCTTATTAAGTAATAAATTGCATAAAGGTTATGTAACTCCTCTCAATATTTTGCATAGTGTCTTTCCATGTGCAGGGTTAAATTCACATTCAATCTGAGTTTCTGACTTTCTCATTTAAAAAGTTAGTAATGGGTAATTTTTCTTTCTATTTTCCACAGCTCATGTTGCCATAAACTTCTAATTCCCTGATGGATAGTTGTCAATGAATAATTCATTTAATCAAAGCCTCCGCTGTGTAAATTTTTTATTAGAACTTTTGGCAGGGGACACGCTATACAATTCTTCCCATCAGAGCTCTGGAGGATCTCGGAACTTCTCTGTAGATTAAACAAAAATGAAAATATTAAAAAAAAATAGGCACACCACTAGAGCAATACCAGATCTCAAAGTGCACCTAAATATTCACCAGGGAAAAAGAGAGGATGGCAATGTAATAGTTTTAATGTCAAAGTATGGCTAATTCTGCAGGTTCTAGTGTTAAAGAACCTCAATAGGAAACGACAGGGTTCATAATAGTAAAGTTTTCAATTCACTTTTAATGATAAAATGGATAGATAAAACAATCAGGCTGTATTCTCAAGTATAGTTCTATCATTTATATAATAAGATTATCATTCTTATCACAAGAATGATTTAGACAATAACTGTTAACTGAGTGATATCCAAAGTGGTATAGACACACACACACACACAGACACACACACACACAAACAATTCTGCATGATGCGCTCTACAGAGGGAAGCAGGAGTAACCTGCTCATTCCAATCAATGGACATATATGACACCACTCTCGGAGAGGTGGGTGCATGATGCATGCAAGCACAGTAAAGGCTCCGTGCAGTCCACAAGACGGCTACGAGTGGGCTAACTCTGTAATCCCCAAATGTATTTGGCTATGAAATACTAGTAAAAGCACATGGCATTATTATTAGCGTTCTACCCAAAACAGTTTAGGGAAACACTAAATTGGCCTCGTTCCAAATTCAATCTTTAGGATCAGTGTTTGGTACTGGGCTCCAGAAACACATCAATAAGATTAATAATTTTAAGAACATTATTGCAAATTTCTAGTAACATATTCTAAAATATCACATTTTAGGTCAAAAGGCAGTCACCTATGCTACCTGTTTGCGAGAGCTCTTTAAAAGCAAGCGGCCTCAGGCCGGGCGCGGTGGCTCACGCCTGTCATCCCAGCACTTTGGGAGGCCGAGGCGGGCGGATCACGAGGTCAGGAGATCGAGACCATCCTGGCTAACACGGTGAAAACCCATCTCTACTAAAAATACAAAAAATTAGCCAGGCATGGTGGCGGGCGCCTGTAGTCCCAGCTACTCGGGAGGCTGAGGCAGGAGAATAGTGTGAACCCGGGAGGCGGAGTTTGCAGTGAGCCAAGATCACTGCACTCCAGCCTGGGCCACAGAGGGAGACTCGGTCAAAACAAAAAACACAAACAAACAAAAAAAAGCAAGCTGTCTCAAGAAACTCTGAAAAAACGGTATAGATAAACTGGCCATGAAGGAGAGTACTAAGAGTACCTTCAAGTGCATGTTTTGAGTGATAAATCAATGAATAAAATTGAAAAATATGTTGTCTTTTAGAAAAGAAATGTACTCCACACTTGAACATCCAAGCAAGTTACATTGAAGGGGGAAAGATAAACATTTATACTCAAGAGAAAAGCCAAAATTCATACAGATTATTTGTCCCTCTGTCTCTCTCTCATCTATCTATTTCCAAAAGGACAACTCACATAAAATTCAAAAAAAAAAAGTTTTTCCTGAAAGTTGTGGTTGTTCACTTTTGTCAAATAAACCTAAGCAATAATAGCATGTTACAGTGCAGCAAACCCACTCTTCACATCTGATTGAAGTAATGTTTGGATTATGAAGCGTTTTTCATCCATAGATAGGTTTCAACTGTTTCTGAGGAAAAGAAACGGAACATGGAATTGAGCATTACAGAACCCTGAATAGCCTCACCTTTTCTGCTCAGCGCAGCCCGCAGAAAAAGAGCACCAATGTGAGCCAGTGCAGGTGCGTGGGCAGGGGAGGGGCTGGAGGTGTGAGTGGGAGGCAGAAAGATCCAACATTTATATTAGCAACTACAATGGTGCATAAATGAAAAGGAAACTGGATATTTGAACTGTTGATATTTTGTTAGAAGGAGACGTGGAATAACTACATGAACTATTTCCACAATCTAACTTGTACTGAAGAACTTTATGTGATTTAGTTACTGGAGAAGTTTAATAAGGTTTTTCACCCCAAAATTGAAAATTAACAAGTAATCTTGATTCTATTTTCTTTTCCTTTTTGGTGGCTCAAGGTAAAGACTATTTCAAACTCAGAATATATTTGATATATTTATTATTTGAAGAATTCATATATCCTAGGTCAAATGCAGAGTTTTTCTGTTCATTTGTAAATTTCTACAAGCTGTACAAATAATATTTTTCTAAGCAATTACTGGAATGGCCTATTTTAGGCACTATGAGTGCAGGCTAATATTTGTGTCAGTCTAACAATATTTATTACTATGCTAAGGCAAATATTCATTTCTCCATCTAATAGTCCACATATCCTAAATGCTGAGGTTGATCAGTTTCAAAGAAAACACTCACAATATAATAAAGTTATATGAATGATGGTTTATAACAATACCAGCTGAACAACAGCAACAACAATTTATCTGAGAAGCTAATTTGAGTTTCATTATGTAAGTGTTTATAAAACACATTTAATTATTAACAGATTATTTCTGGAAGAGAATGTGAATATAACTAATGGCTGAATATGTATGCTCATATTGAGCATTCTTTATCAAAACTCTAAAAGGATTTTAAGATAACATTTTGCACATGTATTTGATTAAATAAGAAATATTTTCTTAACACAAATGGAACTCATGAAAATTTTTTTAGATGGTGCCAATTTCATCTTTCTCAGTTAAAATACCTAATTTTCACTTTTACATTTTTTAGAATATTTGTCAAGTTTTAATAAAAAATACCTACACTATGAATTATTCTGTGGAAGCCATCAAGTTATCATTTAAAGCTGTTGCCATTTTTTCATATTTTCTTACTTAAAAGTTTTTTTACCTATGTTTTATTCAAAATCTGCTTTTGTTTTCCAAGATATATTTTACCTTTCTAATAGATTTTGAAATTCTAGTTCAGCTGAATAAATATTTTCAAAAGACATCTGGGCTGTGCAATGATACCTAGTATCTCTACTACTTATTCTTTCTGTGTAAGTTTGAAGCTTGTCACATTTCTGCAAGCAATAAGAAAAAAGGCATGAACAAAAGAGTGTTCAATAGTAAAGAAAAAAAATGCAACAACCTGCTGAGCAAAGACTCTAGAAGTCAGTTTTCAGCATGATCCCTTGTGTGACTTTAAAATCTACTCTTAGGAAAGTGCATAGTTTTCACAGTTTGAAATGATAAAGAATATACTCTTCAAAACTTCTGTCAAGATTTCCTTATTCCAAGACCTTACCAACAAGTAGAATGGCCAGGTATCTTAAAACTATCAGTATTGATTCATAAATACAGAATAAGGTTAACATTTATTTTAATGTTGTCCACATCAACCTAATCAAATTGAATTTAATTTCCTCTAAAAAGAAGAACATTGAATGTGCCTGTAGCACCAATTTGTTGATATTGTACACATACCTAAATGCAAATTCCCTTTAAGCTGCAAAAACAATATCTGAAAGTGCTATTATGTGGTGGAAAGAGCTTGAGTAGTTTTCAGTAGGTTGAACTAGTTTTGAAGGTACTGGTCACAAATATATCAATGATTAATTTTGACATTTCTTAGTGTTGTTGTTTTCTCCAAAGTGGAATAAAAAAATGAATACCTAATTTGCAGCTTTTTAATGAAGATAAACTTAAAAAAAAACAATATAAAGAACAAATAGATTTCAAATGGAGTTCCAATCCTAAATAATTGACAGTCAGTAGCTTCCTGGAACACTACCTCGAGAATGTTTTGTAGTCCCAAATCTTGTCTCATTTTGAAATAATGCTATCATCAATTACTAGTATCTGCAATGAGCATGTGTGTCATAAATGTGTTTCACATAGTTGCTGCCTCAGCATCTACTTTAGGACTGACATAGGTCCCTGCCCTCACCCCTGGCCCAGTTAAATCTTCCTCTCCCCACGTGGTCATTTGTAAGGTAATCTGCTTGATTCTCATCTTACTGATCTACAGCTCAGCACACCCACAGCTAGTACCACAAAACCTAATGTCAACACCAGAGTCATGGGAATAAGCTCCCCTCTTCATGTGTGTTGTCTTTAAATTAGCCAATCAATAACCTCTATGGGAAAGCCTAACGGGTAACCCCCATAGCTCAATAAAGGCATGGCCCCACAGGTCCTCTTTCTATCTGCTCCTGATCTGATGGTTCAGCACATTGCCCCTGCAACCTTGCCCCCTGCTTCCTATATAGTAGCCGTCTTCTCTCGTGGACTCATGAGTAATAAACTGCTTCTTATACTTCATATGTTTTGCTGTGCTGCCTTCTCTACGTCTCCTGACCAATACATCCATACCCAATTTTTCTTCTGGTCAAAGCTTTCCCAGAGAGTGACTATCTTGGCAGAACAGACAAGAGCTGCAAAGGTGACTGTCAGTCTGCCAGCATAAATAAGTGTTTGTGTGTGTGTCTGTGTGTGTGTGTGTGTGTGTGTGTGTGTGTGTGTGTGTGTGTGTGTGAAGTATACCTAGTAACAAGTTAGGCACAGGAATTAGGTTATCCACTAGGATAAAGAAGTATCCAGTGAAAGGCACATCATAAATACCCACAGCCAAATAAATCCCCTGGAACTCCATCAGGGCAGGGCTAAAGTTTATAGCCACTTTACAACCTCAAGATCAAATTAAAGAGAAATACAATGATAAGTAGACAGAATGGCAGGGTAAGTACTTTGATAGGCAGCTTCTAAGGGAGTCACCCAAAATTCTCTTTCTGGTATTTATGCCCTTCCATAATCCTCTTTCCTTGAATGTGGGCTAGACTTTCTGACTTACTACAAACCAATAGAAAGTGGCAGAAGTGATGGAATGTCCCTTCCAATTTAGATTATAAAAACACTGTGGCTTCTATCTTGACAGATTCTTAGACTGTTCACCATGGAGAAACCAGTTGCCATGTCATGAGAAAGTCCCATGAGGCCACCTGCATAGCAAGCAACTGAAAGAGAGCTCTGGCCCACAGACAGCAGAAAACTGAGACCCCACAAGTAAGCTTGGAAGCAGATCCTCCACTAGTCAAGCCTCCTAGTCTTATCAGGAGATAAGACGACAGACCCTGTCAATCGCTTAACTGGAACCTCATTTTAGAGACCTTAAATTAGAGATGCTGAATTCCTAGTCAAAGGAACTGTGAGATAATGAGTAGTTTTAAGCCAGAAAGTCTGGAATTATTTGTTATGGAGCAATAGATAACAAATACAGCTACCCTGTATTCTTACTCCTGGTGTCCTGAAATGTCTTAATAAAAATTCAATAGATGGTAGCTTCTGTTATTCTTTAATGCCCAATCCTGAGTTGTTTAAAATCTTGAGCTTTAAACCAGTTAATGCTTTATCCCAAATAACACTTATTGAGCTTCTGTTTCTTTTCTTTTTTTCTTTGAGACGGAGTCTCACTCTGTCACCTAGGCTGGAGTGCAATGGCGTGGTCTCCGCTCACTGCAAACTCTGCCTCCCGGGTTCAAGTGATTCTCCCGTCTCAGCCTCCTGAGTAGGTGGGACTACAGGTGCGTGCCACCACGCCCAGCTAATTTTTGTATTTTTAGTAGAGACAGGTATTCACTATGTTGGCCAAGCTGGTCTTGAACTCCTGACCTCATGATCCGCCGCCTCGGCCTCCTAAAGTGCTGGGATTACAGGCGTGAGCCACTGCACCCGGACTGAGCTTCTTAAAAGGCACTGGATAAAAAAGACTTCTTAAAATACACTGGATAAAAATCTAGCAGATATAACGGTAAAGAAAGTGTCTTGGTCTTATATCTAAAGAAGTTACCAGAAGATGGAAATTGAAGATTAAGAGGAAAATAAAATTTTAAATATCCATAGCATAGAAATCATAATCACCAAAGTACATAATCGATACACCCACTGCCTCTCTTCCACTCCATTTTTCTACTAATATCTTTGTTTCTCATTGATTCCTGAACACAGTATTAGGATCTTTCTTTCCAAAGTCTACAGCCCTACAGTTAATAAAATCCAAGATAATGATTCACATAACTACTAAGCATAGTACACTTACTTAAATAATTTGTTGAAAGAAATAATGCATCGTATTTTAGGAAGTCGCATGATGGTTTCTTTCTCCTGCTGGTTATGTCATAACTCTGAAGACACATTCGTTCATTCACTAGATTGTTCAAGGTTTGCAGAAAGTAATGAAGCTTTCTGAGTTTTTATCTTGGTTTTGTCACTTACTGCCTCTTCAAACCTTGGAAAGTAAATTAGCCTCTGACTCATAATTTTTTTTCCCCTATAAACTGCAGCTATTACTGCCCACCTATTCTGGTGGGTTATTCTAAGAACTCAATGAGATGAGCCATATAAAGTGCAAAGAGCTAGTAGGAGTCTGTCACATAACTGGAACTCAATAAATGTTAGTTACAAATACGGATACAACAATGAGTGAGGCATCCTCCCCAGCATCAAAGCATATGAAGTTTTTGAGAGAGACTTCTAATTAAACAACATCAATAAAGTATGGTTAAAAGCCACCTATAGATTTTAATATGATTCATAAAATATTCAGTGTAACTATCTATTTGGTGTCTGCTCTATGCAAATCTCTGTGTCAATGAGTAAGATGTTTGTGAGCCAGACATAGGCCTTAACCTACAGTAGAGCATTATGAAATGAGTGGACACACATAAATTACCATTAAATAAGACAGAGAAGGATAACTACAATTTTTAAAAGCACAATCTATGGCAAATATGGGGACATCAAATTAAATCTGATGGAAGCTTTGGGAGCCATCGTGAAGGCTCTGTGATTTGAGATGGATTTTGAAAAATTGGAATTGTGTTTACCTATAGGAGAAGAATAAGCA
Organism: Homo sapiens; assembly: GCF_000001405.40. Classification (NCBI taxonomy): domain Eukaryota; kingdom Metazoa; phylum Chordata; class Mammalia; order Primates; family Hominidae; genus Homo; species Homo sapiens. Next base: position 115,267,699 of record NC_000002.12, on the reverse strand, counting down.
TGTGGGGCTACAGAAACTGCATAAACAAATGCCTCGAGGAAGGAAAGTGCAGGAAAAGCAAAGTGACAAGATTAGAAGGAAGAGAGTGAAATAAAGGTGAGAGAGGTAGGCAAGGAGAGGAGAGGGGAATACAGAGAGCGATGCAGTGCTGAAATGCAGTTACATGATAATAAAGGTGTTCTTATTTTCAAGAACTTGACTCTTTACATGCCTGAAAAATATCACTTTAAAATGTAATGGTGCTTGCTAATATATGGCAGATTTCCTTCCTAAAAACAAGTCCCTGCTACTCTAAAATATTTTTTATTGTGAAATTAGAAATTTCTTCAGTAATTCCCTTTTAAAGCACAGGGACATACTTTGCAGCACTTACTATTTGATACATATTGCATATATGTTCGAAATTAGTAAGCTAAATTCTCCCCACAGAATCAGACCCATAACACCACAGCATTATAATCCGTCTCTGATAGAGGCACTTATGGACATCTCACAGAAAGCATGATTTGCTTCTAAAATGATAATCTAGAAGACACAAGAACAATTCCTCCAAATATTACTTGATTCCTTCTAGCATATAATCATTAGCATCTTTCTAGACTCTAGAGCAAAGCTGTATGGGAACTAAGGTGTTTTTAGATGGTGAAGTCCTATAGGACTGGAGGTGGGAACAGGACAATTCAGCAGTCCTCTGGCATTGATAACGACTAGCACTATAAAAAGTAAATAAGTTTGCTTACAATAAAACAAAAACCAGTACCTTAAACACATAACATAATTTATCCAATTCTCCCCCCCAAAATGAATAAAAATCACAAGAGCTTTTGCTTATACCCTCTGCAAAATACCGTATAAGGATAGGAAAATCTCTCATTATTTTTCACTATACAGCAATTATAAATATTTCATGCTATTTAGTCTTTTGAAATCTTCAATTAATTTCTCAGTACATAAAAGTTGACCAAATTATTATCATTCTCGAATATGAAGCCATTTGCATTGTCCTCAAAAAGCTTAATACCACAGACAAAGATAAAACCTCTGTGGACAGTAACCATTCTGGACAAAATCATATGGGATAAACGCAACATACATTGGATGCTTGGAATAATGCTTTTAAAACATGAAAAATTCTAAGGCTAGAACCTATAATGTGTGAAATGAATACATCATATGCCAATGAACACCTGTCTCAAGAGTGTACCTAGTTATCCTTCACTTGAGTTAAAGTACTATTCAATATAACTCCTACTAAATTGCTAACAAGCCCCAGAAAACACATGGTAGAATTTTTATTGAAAAATCTAAGAAAAACATAAAAAATACAATAGCACGTAGGTGACCATGGTGCATATCGAATTCCCCTTCCTAAATATTTTTTACATCATTCTAGCTTCCATATCAGAAACTCAAAGAAAATCTCCATTGCATGAAAGATAAATGTTGAGATAATTGGCCTGGAATTCATGTTCAGATATAATACATAATCAATCCTTCGTTTCATGTTTATCTCACAGTAATTCCCAAAATGAACTCCTATACTTAATCCCTCGAAACTATTACAGAGCTTCTAAAATATGTCTTGCTGATAACCATTCCTAAATAATAATTAAATTACCTCCTCATGTTAATATATTTTGAAACACTAATATGAAATTCAAGTCCTACCTCTTCTTCTTCATCTTTGATAACTTCTAGTATTACATTTTAGCCAAAATAAGCTTCTTCATTTTCTAAATTTTTTTTTTTTTTTTTTGAAATAGAGTCTCGCTCCATCGCTCAGGCTGGATTGCAGTGGCATGATCTGAGCTCACTGCAGTCTCAACCTCCCGGGTTCAAGCAATTCTCCTGCCTCAGCCTCCCCAGTAGCTGGGACTACAGGCGTGAGCCACCGCGCCTGGCCCCTTTTTCTAAACACTTCAGCACTTATTATCTGCACTATTTATTTGGCATTTAATAATACTGGAGATATGTGTAGCTGCCCCTTTCCCTGACCCTTATCCCTGGCCACCATTAAACCTAAAATCTTAAAGTGCTATTATACACTGAATTCAGAAACACTAGGGACTGACATTCATTTAGTGAGTGGCTACCAACACTCACCCCCAATGAAATAAAATAAATCATAATGTATACCTGTAGTAAGGTTATTATTATTTGTGAAATTTTTGCTTCATGTATGCATGTATATGTATGTATTTAGTGGACTGCAATTAAAATCTATTTCTTATAATCTGCCAGGATTTTTGTAAAATCATTTGAATACCACCATCCTAGGGAACCATGTCTCCTGATTATTTAAATTCAGAGTGCCTAATAATAACTGTTTATTAAACAGATGTTCAAAATGGGTAAGACAGGATACTGAGTGAAATTAAAGGAGAATCATATATATATGTATGTGTGCATATATATATATATATATATATATGGAATCCAAAGCCAAAGGACAAAATAAAGACATTGGGAACATCGATGTGTACATATTGAATGGGAGAAATGGGGAATGTGAAATTGGCAAGATCAAATTTTATTCATGGTGCTGTCTGAAGTTGGCTCTGAATTGAGACCTCAACCCAAGGTTATGTGGCACAATGGCTGTTATGTTTCAATGACTAAATCTTTATGGATCTTCATCAAACTCAAGTGCAATGTACAGAAGTTTATAATAACAGCAAGTCATACCACATAGCAGTATGAAAAGAGGGGCTTATATTTCTCTAACCTATAAGCTGAAACATTTGACACCCCTAATAAAATCTATCAATGCAATGGTGTTTTTCTAAATTCATGATTTTCTTATGACTATTTCCTTTCATGTACTATTACATAGCCCAAAACTTGGTACCCACTTTTCACAATCATCATGTAGATAAAGCTTTACATTTTAAAACAAAGATGACATATTGATAAATATTAAGAGCTTACAGAACTGAAACAGCATCATCTTTCTTAAACATCATTCCAAAATATGTGACATCTTTGTCTATTATCTTTCTCAAGCTATATTTTGAATTTGTTATGTGAAATATCCAAAATAATGCAAATTACCAAGCATATTTCATGTGACAGATAGTATTATGTGTTCACAATTCTTCCTTCCTTCCCCACATTGAAATGGCTTATTGTGGTTTAGCCACAATGCCTCTATAATGCTCCTCTTCACTGACTTTGAGCTTGACCTTGTGACTTGCTTCAACTAATCGAATGTGAGTTAATATAATAAGCTGTATCCAACCAGGATGTAGATGCACATGTGTGGTTTGACTTGTTTATGCGATCCTGCCCTATCCTGTACAAATATTATTCCCCAGCAAAGGATAGGCTCCAGATTAAAAGACACATAGATACCTGAACCCAACCTACAGCCCAAAGCAGGGACACATTAACAACATACAGGAATTTCAGTGAGGGATAAATTTTGTCGGTGGTTAGTCAATTGACATTTTGCATCATTTATTGTACAGCATTATTTTCACAAAAACTAATTGAAGTTTTAATAAATTGATTTGTAACTCAGATTATAAGAATATGTCCACCAAATTAAAGTACTAAAAAATATGTCACAGATACCTGTTAACACTCTTGAAAAGCCTCAAAAGTTTAAGTTTTCAACATAATTTCCTTCTTCTTAGTGAATAATTCTATTGAGTATTTACTATGGAAATCATTTTTAACTACCTTCCATTTTTTTCTTTCTGAATTAAGACCCACTCTCCTGGACATTTCAGATATAACTTATAACTCATCATTTCTTGAATTCAAACATACAAAATCTATTGAATAATGAGTATGTGTGTGTGTGTGTGTGTTTTGAATCCCTTTGTGATTTTTGCACTAATATTTTATAAAGAAAAAAATAAAGTTTCAAATCCAGTTTCAGAGTGCAACGCTATCTAACATGTATATAAGGAAGGCAATTGAAAATAAATACTAATCCGATGGAGCAACTCTTGACTTAATCATGAATAAATCTAGTAAAATAGTATATTTTGAAATGACTTTTTATACAAGAGTAGAATGTTTATGGAGGATAATGCCTTTGAAACAGCTTACCTAGCTATCATGTTTAAATATGTCAAATGTATCCCTGGAAAAGCCTTTAAAAGACAGAATAGCACATATTCTATAGAGGACCATAATTAACTAAGAGGATGAAGCTTGACTAGGCAAGCTCTGGGAGAAACATCAAGGCAAGGATAGCCTTAAGCAGTTATTGGTTAAAGAATCATAGATATCATGGCTAAATATACCATTAATGGTCATTCTAGGCCAGGGGCCAAAGTCAGAATTTTAAATAAAAAGGCAATTAGACATTAAGCCACAACACAGACTTGGTTTAAGTGACTGGTAGCAAGGGGGAAGGGTGGGGCTTCTGGAGAACCAGAGATGCAGGCTTTTGCCAGGGGCAGTCTTTTACCCATTATGTGTTACAAGATATTAATATCAAATCTCCCAATTTTTGAAGTATTGTCAGCTGATTCAAATTTAAAACATTTTAATACACAAACACATGTTTGTGATCCTAATTTGACCCAGAAGATGTGACTTCTGTTGGAGATAATCTCTTCCTAGTATTTTGTAGAATAAAAAAACTACACCTAGAAAAAGGAAATGACTTGCTCTTGGACACGGTAATCACTTCCAGACTCAGGGTAAGAATTGCTAAGATTTTATTGTCTCATTTAATCATTACTGTGCAGGCTGCCAGTCACACTATGTATTTATGGGGAAAAGGGTATAAATGTAGGATGCTTATGCTTCTTCCACTGCAAGTACCATGATTTTGGTTTATGTTTTTTTCCTTCTGTAGAATTACATGGAATTTGGGGATTAATATACAATCTATTATGAATGAGTTTTACTTCTTTGTAGGGATCTTGGGAAGAAATAATTCATGAAAACAGTCAATATGTAGATGCCAGTACAGTAAAAGGGAGAATACATTACAGATGAGGAGAAAACTTTTATTTTATTAAAGTGAAATTTCTAAGCATGCAATTTATCCAGGAGCCAGAACTGACTGAATATAAAGGTTACCTTATTTAATTTTACATAAGCAAAATTTTGTGGAAAACTTGAATTTTTATTTATATCAATTATTGACCAAGACTCATGTTTGAAACAGAAACAATACGTTTATAAAAATGTTATATTAATATGTAGATGTACATATCACAATCAATATTTGCTTTAGATTTCTATGTAGTCAAAATGAATAAATATTTACCTGTATTCACTGACATTTTAGGTTTCTGAAAAAATATTTTTAAACTAAAAATAAAATAGTAAGTATATGAAAATGAGAACATATTTTAAAATAAAAATAATAGTAAACATATTAAAATAATGATAGCAAATAATTGTGACATTTATTGAATATAGAGATAGAAGTCTTTAAAAAATGGGAGCTACTGATGACAAAAGACTTGGTGTTACACCAAATTTCTCAGATATATAATGATCAGTAAGTTAAAAAAAAAAGTCCAGGATTTTGTGTTCTTGCAAATGAATACGTTGAATTAATATGTGCCCTCTTCCTATTAAAAGACATAGAGATATGAGATACATTATCAGATTTTTTTTTCAAATTACTTCACTGTGTTAAAAACAAGGAAAGCAATTTGTATGTGGTAGAAGTGAAAATGGAATCTCAAAAATGAGAATGGTAAACTCAGGGGTCAAGGATTCTCTCTTTGGAGGGAGATGGCATGTGGCATTAGTTCTGTCCTCTTTATCCCTTGTCAACTGTCTGCAGCTGAAAACCCAAACTGACAAGACATCCTGAGATCCTGTTTAATTTAAGGCTGTTAGTAGCTGTCTAGCAAAACCTGATTGTGACGTGTTTTAGGAGGAAGCTTGTATCTTTTGAGAACAGTTGCAATAATATAACTAAACCTTGCAAAAGGCATGTTAATATGGAGATAAATAAGATACTCTGCCACACAGCAGAATTTAAGAAAGGATACAAAAGAGTGATGAGAAAAACTTCATAGTAACCACTGGATGTAGTACAAGAGAACAACATACCTTTCAAACTGTTCATCACCTTTCAACAATTGCTTCTGATTTTACAACACACACACAAAATAAATTCCCTCCCCTTGTCCTCTCCAGCACATGTATTGAAGAAGTGTGGAAATTTTATTTCCCTTTAACCCAAAAAGCAAGTGATAAATTGGATTATAGAAAGTCTTGGGACAGAAAAGCCAACATAGACAAAAATGCTGAAGGCCAAATGGGAATTCCTCACGATGCCAAGGCCAATTTTTTTAAGTTTCCAGATTCACTAAACCGTATTTCTTCACCATGCGTTCCATACAACATTCACTGATTGTGCACTAGGAATCCTCAAACTGGAAACGATCCACCAAAGTAGTTGTATTGCTCAGTGCCCTTTAGGCTTACTAAAATTAGGTCTTCTAGCCGACTTAAGAAAAAGAAATCTACCACTTTCAACCGGTGGCAATGAAATCCAAAATGGCATAGATCCGGCGGATTCCATGATGCAAGTTAGAATGTAGAGCAAGACATGCTCTGCGTTTTTTGTTGTTGTTGTTCTTGTTGTTGTTTTTTCTTCAGCCACAGAGACTATAGCTCCTCCTCATAATTATATTCCACTAAGGTGGTTTGAATTTATTGGCTATGAAATGCAGTTTCCAGACAATGCCTCTATGCAGTATTTTCCACTGTTCCACTTCTATTAACAAGGACAATTCAAGGGCAAATACTAATTATGGTTTTGACACAGTTTTAACTCCATGTTTAGCTTTGAGAGTAATTCTACAGCACGCCCCAACTCCCTTGTCAGTTTCCTCTACTTTTAATTTCCAAATTGAATGAACTTATGAACCCAAGGATAGACTCTGACTTTAAAAGTATACTGCCCCACTCAAAGTTTTAGTTCCATTTCTCAAAAGAACACTTCCAATTAAAACCTATTTAAGAACAAACCAAAAAAATTTAAAACACTAGAAAATAGCACTAAAATGAGCTTAAAAATCATACACCCTTTGCTTTTGCCATTTTAATCACAGACTACTATAGTTAGGATAGACTTTTGTGGTCCAGTTTTCTAAAATTTAAACATATTCATGAATAAGAGTAACTTACACTCAAGGAAACAACAGTACTTCTCACTGAGATTTTTAAAAACTTGTAAATCTACTTTGTTTGAGGGCTGGCAAGTGCATTGTGTTTATGGACTCATTTCACAGCAGAGTGATTTATCTTGCGCCAAGCCTTTCTTGAGTTGAACGTCTGACCTCCAATTGAACAGCAAATACATTCACATGATCTTCACGTTTCTTGGTTTAGGAATAGTAAAAAGTAGCACACAAAAACTTTCATGCCATGAAAGAAAAGTAAGTTCAAATTATTACCAACGGAATGATTTGAACCCATTTCTAGCTTCCTAATTGCTATGTAAAACAGTCTGATATTAACAAAAGGCTTGAAAATAATACCACGATGTTATATACATAATACCATGAAGTTATACATAGTCATGATACAATTATATATCATAATTAATGTATATATAATATAATATAGAATGTGTAATAAATACATATAATTGTTATGTATACTTTATGGAAAGCAGTGACTCATTAATGCCAGAAGTGTTGTTTTATGGAAAAGCGTGAATGAATTGTATAAATTTTCAAATTTATTAGTTTTTAAACATATCATTTTTAAAAGTGTAATTATATAAGGTAAAACATATTTTAAATTATAAATAAAAAGAAACATATGACCGACTGACCTATAACGACTATTAGATATACTAAATCAAGTATGACCAAATTAAACATTTGTAAGTAAAGAAAAATGCACATAGATAATAAAATTATGCTATATAGCATATATCATATATAGTTTGTGTGAATATGTTTATGCATATGTGTATTTTTAATATCATCATTCATTCAATACAAATATGTCATGACAGAGGCCGCTAAATGGTCATCCAAGAATAGTACTTAGGGCAGCAATATGTCTAGGTACATAGGGCAGCAATATGTCTAGGTACAGACTATAAATATTTCCTATACTTCCCTGCAACTAAGTGTGGCCATGTAATTATGTTCTTGGCCAATGAACAATAAGTAAATGGTTTTCTAGGGTCATTCTGGATAAGGTACTATTACTAATATGGGTACAAATAAATGAAGTGTGTTTCTTTTGCTATTCTTTCTTTCTTTTTTTTTTTTTTGAGATGAAGTTTCTCTCTTGTTGCCCATGCTGGAGTGCAATGGTGCGATCTCGGCTCACTGCAACCTCCGCCTCCCGGGTTCAAGTGATTCTCATGCCTCAGCCTCCCAAGTAGCTGGGATTACGGGCATGTGCCTCCAGGCCCATCTAATTTTTTTGCATTTTTAGTAGAGATGGGGTTTCTCCATGTTGGTCAGGGTGGTCTCGAACTCCCAATCTCAGGTGATCCGCCCACCTTGGCCTCCCAAAGTGCTGGGATTACAGGTGTGAGCCACCCCACCCACCCGGCCTTTTGCTATTCCTTCCTCCCTTTGGGCACCAGGAATGTAGGCAGGATGATTGGAATTCCAGCAGTAATTGTAGATCACAGAATGATCCTCAGGTTGGAAGACAAATGTTAGCAAGGTGCAAGAAATAGATGACCACAACTCTATCTGTCCTGGATGACTACCTCTGTATTCTTCTATATAAAAGAGAAATGACTTAACTTTGCTCAAGCCATTGCAATTTTTGGTGTTCTGTTACAGGCAGCTGAACTCAATCTTCATTGGTAAGATAAATATGTAAGCACAATTATTTATTTTTTATTTACTTTTTGAGAGAGGGCCTCACTCTGTTGCCCAGGCTGGAGTGCAGTGGTGCTATCACAGCTCAGTGCAGCCTCAGGCTCAAGTGATCCTCCCACTTCAGCTTCCACAGTATCTGGGACTACAGGAGCATGCCAGTGTGCCCTAAGTAGTAGAGATGCCCTCATCTCACTATGTTATCCAGGCTGGTCTCAAGCTCCTGGCCTCAAGTGATCCTCCCATCTCAGCCTCCCAATGTGTGTAAGCACATGAAATAAAATAGAATCATTATACCTGAAGTGCGCAATCTGCTTTTTCTCATTTAACATGTTGAATGCATGTTTATTTATTATTACAAATTATTCTATATTCAATTTAGGGTGATTTTCAATTTAATTATAATTTATTTAACAACATTTTAAAGATTTTTTTTTTTTTTTGCCAACTTGGATACTACAGTGTGTAAGCTAGAACAATTTTGTTTCTGGATTATTGTCTTTGTTATCCTACGTTTCAATCAGCTATTTAAACTCTCTGAATAACTTTATCATCTATTAAATAGGAATGGTACCTATTTCAGCAAGTTACCATGAAAATTAAGAGAGAAAAATTCATATAGCTGACACACATTAAACGTTCAATTTAACACCAGCTACTGGCAGCATCTTCACTGCTGACCTGCTTAAATCTTTCACTCTAATCCTTTTGCATAGCATACTAATTTCAGGCATATAAAGTATAACAAAATCTATTTCAGTGTACCATGACAATAACAAATTTAACTTGAAAGTGTGTTTGTTTCCTTGATGCTTTTAGCATCAATAAATATTTGCTTTTAAACAGAAATATTTTCACGTTTTAATGACAGCTGTTTCCATTTAAGGAATAGAAGTAATCACAAGAGTAGAGGAAAAGAGAAAATAACGGTACATATATTTTAATTGCAAGTGGAATTCTACATATATCCTATCTCTTTTCCACAGTTTGAATCCTTCTCTTAACAAAAAAACCCCTTCTAGGACTCTTTATAACTTTGAATTCAATTCTGTTGACATTACTGACTTGAAATCCATTCTATTAAATGATTTTAAACGAGAAGACAAAATAGGTTATATCATCAAGGCATATACCTATGTTATATGAATGGACTAATGTAGACCAAATGTTATGTAACTTAGGAAAAAAATACTCAACATCTGAAACTAAGGGGGCTTCTACTTAGTTGTACATCCTATCCAGATGAAATGCCATACTGAGTGACACAGTTTGGATATATGGCCTCTCCAAATATCATGCTCAGATATCATCCCCAGTGTTGAAGATGGGGCCTGGTGGGTGGTTTCTGGGACATAAGGAAGAATCTTTCACAGCTTGGTGCTGTCCTCTCACAAAATCTAGTTGTTTAAAATGTGTGGCACCTCCCTCACTCCCTCTTTTGCTCCTGTTTTCACCATGTGACATGCCTGCTTCCCCCTTGCCTTCTGCCATGATTGTGAGCTCCCTGAGGCTTCAGAAGCCAAGTAGATACCAGCACCATGCCTCCTATACAACCTGCAGAACTGTGAGTCAATTACACCTCTCTTCTTTATAAATTGCCCCATCTGAGGTATTTCTTTACAGCAACACGAGAATGTCCTAATACAGAAAATTTGTACTGAGGAGTGGGGTATTGCTAAAAATTACCTGAAAATGTGGAAGAACCTTTGGAACTGGGTAACAGGAAAGGGTTGGAAGAGTTTGAAGGGCTCAGAAGAAAACAGGAAGATAAGGAAACGTTTAGAACTTCTTAGAGACTGGTTAAATGGTTGAGACCAAAATGCTGATATGACATGGACAGTGAAATTTCACGCTTACAAGGTCTCAGATGGAAGTAAGGCACCTACTGGGAACTGGAGCAAAGGTCATACATGTTGTGCCTTAGTGAATAACTTGGCTGCATTCTGTTTATGCCCTAAGGATTTGTGGAAGGTGGAACTTCAGAGTCATAATTTAGAGTATCTGTGGGAAGAAATTTCTAACCAGCCACGTGTACAAGATGTGGCCTGGCTGCTTCTAACAAGCAGCCTTCATTCAGATGCAGGAGCAAATAATTGATGTTAAAGTTGGAACATCTGTTTAAGAAGGAAGAAGAGTGTAAAAGTTTAAAAAATCTGCAGCTTGGCCAGGTGTTAGAAAATTTTCAGGGGAAGAATCCAAGTGGGCTGTGAAGCAACCACTTAATACATTTGCATGACTCAAAAATAGCCAGGTGCTGATAGACAAGACAATGGGGAAAAGGCCTCAAAGGCATTTCAGCAGTCTTCCAGGTATCCACTCCCATCAAAGACCCTTTGGCCTAGGAGAAAAAATGTTTTCATGGGCCAGGCCCAGAGTATCAGAGCCATACACTACCTCGGAACACTACTCCCTGAATCCTGACTGCTCCAACTCCAGCCACAGGCTCAGAGGGTCCCAGGTACTGCTCAGTCTGCTGCTTCAGAGAAGGCATGCCATAAGCCTCGGTGGCTGACAAGGTTTGGGGCTCTCTCCACTCAAATCTCATCTTGAATTGTAGTCCCCATAATCCCCACATGCTGTGAAAGGACCCAGAGGGAGGTAATTGAATCATGGGAGTGGTTACCTCCATGCTGTTCTTTTGATAGTGAGTGAATTCTCACGAGATCTGATGATTTTATAAATGGCTTTTCCCCCTTTTGCTTGGCACTTCTCCTTGCTGCCGCTATATGAAGAAAGACGTGTTTGCTTCCCCTTCCATCATGATTGTAAGTTTCCTGAGGCCTCCCCAGCCATGCTGAACTGTGAGTCAATTAAACTTCTTTCCTTTATAAATTACCCGGTCTCATGTATGTCTTTATTAGCAGCATGAGAACAAACTACTATAGTAAATTGGTACCACAGAAAGTTGGGTGCTGCCGTAAAGAGACCCGAAAACGTGGAAGCGGCTTTTGAACTGGGTAACAGGCAAAGGTCAAAACGGTTTGGAGGGCACAGAAGAAGACAGGAAAATGTGGGAAACTTTGGAACTTCCTAGAGACTTGGAGGGCTCAGAAGACAGGAAGATGTGGGAAGGTTTGGAACTTTCTAGAGACTTGTTGAATGGTTTTGACCAAAATCTGATAGTGATATGGACAATGACGCCCAGGCCACAGTAGTCTAAGAACTTGTTGGAAACGGAAGCAAAGGTGACACTTGTTATACTTAAGCAAAGAGACTGGCAGCATTTTGCCCCTGCCCTAAATATCTGTGGAAATTTTAACCTGAGAGAGATGATCTAGGATATCTGGTAGAAGACAATTCTAAGCGTCAAATAATTAAAGAGGAAGCAGAGCGTAAAAGTTTGGAAAATTTGCAGCCCGACAATATGATAGAAAAGAAAACCCCATTTTCTGGGGAGAAATTAAAGCTGGTTACAGAAATTTGCATAAGTAACAAGGAGCAGAGTGTTAATTACCAAGAAAATGGGGAAAGTCTCCTTAGGGCATGTCAGAGACCTCTGTGGCAGCCCCTCCTATCACAGGCCAAGAGGCACAGGAAGGAAAAATGGTTTTGTGGGCCTGGGCCAAGGCTCCCCTACTGTGTGCAGCATAGGGTCTCGGCGCTCTGTCTCCTAGCCACTCCAGCCACGGCTAAAAGGGACCAAGGTACAGCTCAGGCCACGGGTACAGAGGCTGCAAGCTCCAAGCCTTGAGAGCTTCCACATGGTGTTGAGCCTGCAGGTGCACAGAAGTCAAAAGTTGAGATTTGGGAACCTCCGCCTAGATTTCAGAAGATTTACAGAAATGCCCTGGTGTCCAGGCAGAGGTATGCTGCACAGACAGAGCCTTCATGGAGAACCTCTCCTACGGCAGTGTGGAAGGCAAATGTGGGACTGGAGCCCCCACACACAGTCCCCATTGCTTCACTATCTAGTGGAGCTGTGAGAAGAGGACGACTGTCCTCCAGATCCCAGAATGGCAGATCCACTGACAGCTTGAACTGGGCACCTGTAAAGCCACAGACAACGCCAGCCCATGAAAGCAGCCGGAAGAGCACCTGTACCCCGAAAAGCCACAGGGATGGAGCGGCCAAATGCTGTGGGAGCCCACCTCTTGCATCAGGGTGACCTGGATCTGAGACATGGAGTCAAAGGAGATAATTTTGGAACTTTAAGGTTTAATGACTACCCTATTGAATTTCAGACTTGCGTGGGGCCTGTAGCCCCTCTGTTTTGGCCAATTTCCCCCATCTGGAATGGGTGTATTTACCCAATGTCTGCACTCCCATTGTATCTGTGAAGTAACTAACTTGCTTTTGATTTTACAGGCTCATAAGAAGAAGGGACTTGCCTTTTCTCAGATGAGACATTGGACTTGGCTTTCCGGGTTAATGTTGGAATGAGTTAAGACTTTGCGGGACTGTTGGAAGGGCGTTACTGCATTTTAAATTGCAAGCACATGAGATTTGGGAGGGTCCAGGGGTGGAATAATATGGTTTGGCTATATCCCCACCCAAATCTCATCTTGAATTATAGTTCCCATAATCCTCATGTGTCATGGGAGAGAGCAGGTGGAGAAAATTGAATCATGGGGGGTCACTCCCCTCATCCTGTTTTCATCATAATGAGTGAGTTTTCATGAGATCTGACAGTTTTATAAGGGGTTTTCCCCTCTTTTCTTTGGCACTCTCTTTGTTGCCTCCATGTGAAGAACATGTTTGCCTCCCCTTCCACCATGATTGTAGGTTTCTCAAGGCCACCCCAGCAATTCTGTACTGTGAGTCAATTAAACCTCTTTCCTTATAAATTACCCAGTCTCAGGTATGTCTTTATTAGAAGCATGAGAATGGACCAACACAGTGGCCTTCACCTGGTGTTAAGCGTGCAGGCATGCAGAGTACAAGAGTTAAGAAGGCTTGGGAGCTTCCACTTATATTTCAGAGGGTGTATAGAAAAGCCTGGCCGCCCAGGCAGAAGCCTGCTTCAGGGGCAGAGCCCTTAAAGAGAAGCTCTACCAGGGAAGTGCAGAAGGGAAATATGGGGTTGGAGGGCCCACAAGGAGTTCCCACTGTGGCATTGCCTAGTGAAGCTGGGGGAAGGAGGACACTGCCCTAGAGACCTCAGAATGGTAGATCCACCAGCAGTTTGCATCCTGCACTTGGAAAAACACCCAACAGCCTGATAGAGCAGTGGCCACAGAGGTGGAGCTGTCCAAGCCCTTGGGAGCCAACCCCTTGCAGCAGTGTGCCTTGGATGTGGGACATGTAGTAAAACAAAATTATTTTGAAGTTTTGAGGTTTAATGACTGTCCTGCCAGGTTTCAAACTCGCATGGGACCTAGGGCCCCTTTCTTTTAGCCAGTTTCTCTTTTTTGGAGCAGAAATGTTTATCCAATGCCTGCACCCACCTTTCATCTTGGAAGTAAATAAATTGCTTTGAATTTGCAGGCTCATAGGTGTAAGGGACTCACCTTGTCTCAGATGGAACTTTGGACTTAGGACTTTTGAGTTAATGCTGGGATGAAATAAGACATTGGGGGACTATTGGGACAAGATTTTTGTATTTTGTAATGTGAGAAGGAAATGAGATTGTAGGTTCGGGGTGGAATGATATAGTTTGGATATATGTTCCCTCCAAATCTCATGTGCAGATGTAATCCCCAGTGTTGAAGGCAGAGACTAGTGGAATCTGGGTCATAGGGAAGGCTCCCTCATGGTTTGGTGCTGTCCTCTCACAACATCTGGTTGTTTAAAGTGTGTGGCACCTCCCCCACTCCCTCTCCTGCTCCTGTTCTCACCATGTGATATGCCTGCTCCTGCTTCACCTTCTTCCATGATTGTAAGCTCCCTGAGACCTCCCCAGAAGCCAACCAGATGTTGGCACCATGCTTCCCGTACACCTTACAGAGCCAGTTAAACCTCTTTTCTTCATAAATTACCCAGTCTCAGATATTGCTTTATAGCAACACAAGAATAGCCTAATACACTGAGATTCTGTATATTCATATTAACTGTCAAAACGAAAAGAAAGCTGGAACTATGGGTCAAAATAAAAATCTTGGTTAACAACTTTGCCTTTGGCAAACTCCTTATAGCTAGAGGGTTAGAAGAGAGATTTTTCATTTAAAGGCACACAATTGGGAGAAGGAAGCACTGCATCAGAGAAATCAATTAGTTTGAGACCAGAGATTTGAAGAATTTAAGCAAATTTTATTCAAGTACATAAAGAAATATCTGGCAGTCCTTACCCTATTGCTAAGTTTAAAATAAAGCCTTAATTATTTCAAAGGAACAACTCCAGTGAACACCAAACCCATTAGATTTCCGCTCCTATAGACTCTGTGGACTGTAGTAAACACAGAGGGAAAACGATGTTCTCAATAAATCATAATTAATCATATGTGAAGAATCAGAATAGAGTTAACAAACATAATGAGGCATTGGTATATCTGAGTTAAACTAGGGTTAAACTAAACAATAAGCTTGGCAATTATTTCAGATATAATCTAATACTCAGGGTTTCTAGGTTAACAGCCCATTGCAGTCAGGTTTGCACAGGTGGAATTATTCAAATAATTTAAGTAAAAGTACTCACTGGAATTATTTAGAAAATTAAGAACAGTGGCTCCCACAGCAAGGTTGAAGGGACAGGGATGAGTTCTCTGTACTTATTATCCAGTGTGCCCAAATTTTATGTAATTTAATCAACAGTTTATTGAACAAATTAGAATTAGTCATGAAATTCACGAGAGTATCTACTAAGATTCTAAGTATATTTTCAGAAAAAAAGCATTCCTGAATAAGAGAGAAAGTTGGCATCTTTAAAACAAATTAATCCTATAATTTATGAGGCGATATGTTCCGATTGAGGAGGTCCTCTTGGAATCTGCTTAAGGGCACCATACTGATATGTGATAGAATACAAAACTGATAGGCATGAAACTTTTTTAGACATGCTCAACAAGAGAGATTGTCTGGTAGCAATTTTCAACACAGGTTTTTTACTGATACTGGAAGGTGGGGCTGCCCAGAGAAAATCTACCTAAAACCATTTTTTCTACAGCCTATGCTTTTGTCACATTCTCAATTCTATTTTGAAATAACTTAGAATATTTTATAAATATACACTTTTCTATCACATTGTAACCACTCTGAAGGTAAGAACATTTTCTATCATATTTATGACTCCTCACTGCCTAGAACAGAATTATGCTTGGGGTTCAGATTCAATAAATCATTAATAATGTTGGAGAAAAATAAACTTGACCTGGAGAAGTATGTAAACCTTGACATTGCAAATAATTCTTTTTCACATTCTCTTACTTTTCCTAATAAGTAATTCTTTCGTTTTTGCCCCTCTCCTCATTTTATCTCCTTTTATTTATTTTACACTTTTGCCCTTTACGTAGGTCCTATAGACAGGGGTTGAAGAGACTTAGAGCTAAGATCCTGGGGATTTTTTGTCGCAGTAAAAGCTTTCTAATAAGAAGATTATATTAAGCTTATTCTTCCTCCATGACTGAATTTACAGATCAGCAGAGAAACTGGACAGCTGAAAAAGTGGCAGAGAGTGAGAAATGTGTATGTTGGAGAAATAGGGCCTCACAAAGAGAGGTGCTATGTTTGGCAGTGACAGCCTCAATCTCAATATGCTTTAAAGCCATCATTAATAAAACTAGGCCAATCAAACCTACCTCTCAAAGCTTTTCTGAAAGAAAGCTGTGAAGCTTTTCTTAGAGAAGCCGTTGTAAATTGGAGAAAGTGTTTAAAATAGTCATAGATTCCAATCAAGATAAAGATAGCAAATTCAAGTACTTCAGTTCCCAAAGTCCACAGACCTATCCCTGGCAGCTACCACTGTTACTATTATTTCTGACTGCACTTCCCACAGTAACAGAAGTGGCATATTCCTCCAAAGCCACCGGGGACGAAAGCTATGAAATGCTTTTCCAAAAAATCTGACTCTTACTTTCATTCTTCTGTCCACTACTGCTGGCAGGAAGCCTCCACTTCTGAACATTTTCCAGTGGCATAAAAGACTGTCATGGTGTGGACATATATGCTGTTGTCATTTTACTGGAGTTCAGTACACATTTCCCCATAAAGATCATGTTTGAAATAGCAAGTTACTACTGTTCATTAATATAATTCTAGAAGTAAGTTATCAAAGAAGACTTTGCTAAGCCAATGTGGGAACCTCAATACCACTCAAGCACTCTTTCCAAAGTAAAGGCTTTCTAAGTTGCCAGTAACAACCTAGAAAATACAGTGTTGAAACATGAGTTGTTATTTAGGTTGGCATACTTGGCAATATTATTTTTTTTCTGGAAAACTAAAAAGAATAAATAATGTAACCGTACTATGAGCTGAGGCTGCCATTGCCACATCCCATGGCCTCACAGTGTCTCCCATTGCTCAGACATTCCCTTTGAGTCCCTATTCCCTACATGTACCACCCATACATTTCTCTTCCAATCTTCTCTCTTTTCTCCAGACCCTTCCATTCACACATCTTAACACATGGTTCGATATGTCCCCCAATGACATTCCCTATTCAACACAAACTTTTAAGGTTTTAACTTCTGCGACTAAAGGCAGCATTTGTATTTCAGTTCGGAATTATGGGAGAGAAGCTTCCTCATCTATTGCATGCAGTGGGTTCACTGATCTTGGGTAATGAGTCTGTCTTACTGCAGTCTCTCAGTAAATATCTGTTTTACAAAATCATTAAACAATGTACAACACTTGTAGAATCAGTGTCTGCCAGGAAAGTTTATATGAAAAAGATCTGAACATGTGATATACTCTCAAATAAGGAACTGTCCCATCCAAGGACAATGAGCAGATAATGAGCAAGAAGAAAAAGAGAAAAAGAAAAAAAATAGCCTAATGTATTTGGAGACTGCTTAAGCAGTGAATTGAACAGCCAAGAGCATTCCAATTCTGTCATCCTTTCAGTGTTTGGTCAGCGTACTGCATAGATTTCTTTCTGTCTAGTAACTCACCCATTGCAATAATTCAATAAATACAAAGCAATTATAGTAATACAAAATTGCCCTAATTAACATCATTCAGGACTATTTGATCATTTCATTAAGTTATCCATTCACCACAACAGCCTTCCTGACCCCATAGATTTACTCTTCCTTTCCTGGAGTAAGGTTAACCTTTCATACTTAACAGTAGGCATCATTTTGAGGAAGAAAATCAAAGTTCCCTTAATTCTGATAGTCTGTGGACTTTAATTCTTCTTACGTAGAAGTTGTTGAAAGGGGAAAAAAAGTAGAACTCAAAAGGCTTGCTATCTGCAGTAGCTTCTATGTAGAATTTCCGATCAGATCATTTAACAAGTTGTTTTAAAGTTACCCAATGAAATTATTTCAGATAAAACCCACACTCCTTATTATGGTATGAAATGACTTGCCTCAAACTGCATTTTCAACCTCATTTCTCTTAACTTCTTTCATAAAATCACTCGACCCAATAAAAAGAGGCCATGCATTCTATGTTCATTGCTTGTGTCTTCTACCACGTGATTTATGTGGTTCCCTCTATTTGGAAGGCACCATATTTTCTCTTGCCATTCTAAGTGCTATCTATTATAAAGGTCCAACTAATGCCAAAATTTTTACAAGGCTTTTCCTAATCGCTATATATGAACATAATCTGTTTGAACACCTTCAATAATTTACCCCTTATAATGCTTAATGTTTTCTAAAGTGCGTTTTATATCAGGACATTAATTAAATAGAATAGACACTGTGTCAGATTCATCTGTGTATCGCCACAGTGCAATTTATTGTACATATTAAATGCTGAAAAGCTATCTATTCTCTGAAAAAAATGAGTTTAGAAACAACAACTTGGTATTTTTAATCTTCAGCATAATGAAGATCTCAAAAATCATTGCTCAATTCTCAGTAAAATATACTAGCAAAACTTCAATAAGATTTGGAAAAATTTCCATTTTCAAACTGTCTCTTTTTCTGTGACATTCATGAAAGATGTAGCAAAATTTTCCTTAGCCACTTACTTTGAAAGTATCCTCAATACTATCGTGATTTTCTCCTGGTCTTTGGATGTAATCACATGTCTTTGATTTCTTCATCTTCTCGGTTACATGGTGCATTAACACAAGCATGATTGGTACATCTGCACATGGCAGTATTAAGAATTATCATATTGCTTACACTTTTGATTTTAGCATGAAGACAGTTATGTCGGCTATTGCTTTTTAGATATTAATGAAAGTAGCACCACTCTTCCTTTCCATTATCAGTTTGCTACCCTTTACCCCATCTCCCTCCCTTATTCAATGAAAAGCAAGAGAACAGCAATTTGAACTTTACCTACTTCATCATTACCTCTGTATAACTTATTCCCTCTGTATAACACAATTCCCTCTGTAATAACTAACGTAGCAGCAGGTTACTCCAATTGGTAGCCTAATCTGAGTACTTGTGATGGGCAAGCAGGATTGACTCACAAAGAAAAAGAAGTCTGTAAGCATAGTCAGAGAGGCCCCTTAAAAAAAAGAAAAAAGAAAGAAATATCTTCTAAAGAAAAAGAGGCCAGAGTATACAACTATAGTTTAAAACCACGAGCCAGGTCTGAATGAAAGAATGATGCAATACAGCTCATGGTCTAGCACTTAATGCCTCTGCCAGCCCTTCTCCTGTGGGACTCATACTTGAGTCCTAGAGAGAGGGAGAATTGCATTAAAGCATAAAAGTGCAAATAAAAACTAAGAGCTGCCTTACAGCAGCATCCATCAGACACTGAAAACACAGGACAAATCTTCATGGTGTCTTTAGTGAGATTATACAGAAATTCCTCCTAATGGAGATGACATCAGTACCTTTGAGGGAGGCATATTTCCACCTTTGGGATCTTTGCTGCAGTCAATGATGGAAAATATCACTGCAATCCCCTGAACTGGAAAGAAGAAAACTAGCAAAGGAGACATGATATTCCAAGGGTTTACCATGTTATGCTCTCCCTGGAGACAGAAAACCTAAACTAAATGGTGAGTCATATAAGAAGGCTATACAGCCACCATTAGCTAGTTGGAATAGGACCAAAGGGAAAAACAAAACAGTATATTGGTTTGTTGTGTTGTCTTTGCATGCTAATCTTTCACGGGGTGTTTTATTCTCAAACACATTTCTTTCCATCATCATCAACCTTCTTGAAAGTGTAGACTGCATTTCTGTTTCTTTGTTTTTACCTCCATGCATTCTTTAATTTCCTGCAATTGTATTTCATCTCCAGCCACTCCACTGAAAAGTACTCAATGCAAGACACCACTGACTCTCTTGGGGCAAGAGTAATGATCCCTTTCTCAGGTCTTATCCTATCCATCAGTTGTGTGATGTTCACACCCTAATACATTCTTCTATCTCTTTTCGCTCTTCCCTCTAGGGCTCCTTTCATGGGGCAGTCATCCTCTTTTTGCTCATTTCAGGGTCTCCTGATTCTCCGAGATAAATATCATTCAAGAATTTACATCATATGTTTGCTTTCTGCATTCACTATTCATGATTCAACTGTCTAACACATGAATTATTACACAAATTCCTGGGCATCACATTCCCTCCCACAAGTGTAACTGCCACCTGTATACGGATGATCTAGTTTTTACACCTTGGTTGACATCAAAACAAAATTGTAGCTCAATGATGAGGACATGCAGGCACCTCACCAACTGTAAAAAAACAGTAGATCCTACCTGAAGTCTCTCCCCAGCTTCTCCTCATTTTTCTCCTCCATTCTTTATCCTGTTCTTAGCATTACCATCTATCAACAATTCAAATACAAAAATGTCTTCCTCTCTGTTTCCCAATTGTAGTCACTCATCCCTAATACAAATGACAAATGTAAGCATTTCTCCTCATTTTATCATTTTTGAATTTAAATGTTAGCTGTATTACTAATAAAGCTGTTTGGGAAAACTGACGTAGGTCTTTGGTGATAGTAGGTTTTCTCGTGCACTTCTCTCATTCATTCATTTGCATGTCTAGGCAAATACACCCTCACTCACTGAGCAGAACCTATCTGGTTCGGAGGAAGGACTTCGAAGCCACGTCATTTGATTTTCTTCAACCCTCTTCAAGATGTGAACATGGTAGATGTGGTTATACTTATTTTACTATCAGAATATGTAGCATTGTATAATAATGGGTAAAATAAGTATACATATAGTAAAATAAGAGTTCAAATCTAGTTCCCAAGTCCTGTCTACCGCCCCAACAACATCTGTGTGTGTCCCATACACTGAATCCTCACAATTCCAGTTTCCCTCCGTTCTGTCGCCTCTCCTCCCTACTTGACACACTGCTCATCTGTTTCTCTTCACACTTCGCCCAGATGCTACAATAAACACTCAACTAGTGGACATTTCTCCTGTCTCTGTGAGGCCACTTACGGCCCATACATTTGTTCACACTGATCATTCAGTTTACAGTGTTCTCAGAAAGACCTCTACTTGAAAAAATCCACCAATTCTTTTAAGGCTTAACCAAAGATGACCTCTTCTGGAAAACCCCAGTGCTTTCCCCAGGCAGAATAAAGTTTGTCTTCATGTACCAGAGCACCTAGGTAATTCCATTGGTGGAAAGCTCAGCAAATTATGTGTGTCCCTAATGATATTTTCAATGAGCTTCATTATTGTCGTCTAGCCAGTATGTAGCACAGTCCTGTAACGTAGTGAAGGTTTGATAACTATGTAATGAATTTAAATGAATCTAGTCAGTTCGTAGATAACTGGGAATGTGAAGTGCACATTTTTTTTTTACCCCAAAAAAGTATACAGTGAGAGGTGGGCTTTGAAGGTAGTAAATATAAAAATTAGATCACTCTATTTCAAAAGTAGTCTTCTTCAGGTTTCCATCTTTCATTTCAATTTCTGTATTCAGTATCCGGATATTTCTGACATCACATATAAGCACAACTTTTGGAGCTCATTGAATATGTTTTTCTAATCAAACCTAACATCAGCTCAAAAGTCAATTTAAAAAAATGTACAAGCTGCGTCTGAAATAATATATTTTTTGGCCCAGAATTTAATTAATGCCAAACTTTAATGTTGGTCTCATTAAGATATATATAAGGAGGTCATAAGAATCATTAATCATTAATTTTATTGCTGACTTATATGACAGAAATCTATCATGTAAAACTCAGCAACAAAAGTAACATATTCCCATTGTATCACAGAATTCTTACAAGTCTGCAAAGTAAAATCTAAAAGCAATGGTATAAACATGCATGTGCAAGGGTCTTTTTTTCTTATAATGACTTCTTTTCTTCTGGGTAGATACCCAATATTGGGATTACTGGATCAAACGGTAATTCTACTTCTGGTTTTTTAGGGAAGCTCCATACTGTTTTCCACAGTGGCTATACTAGTTTACATTTTGACTAGCAGTGTAAAAGTGTTCCCTTTTCACCACATCCATGCCAATATCTATTATTTTTTGATTTTTTTAATTGTGGCCATTTTTGCAAGAGTAAGGTGGTATCTCATTAGTTTTAATTCGCATTTCTCTGATAATTAGTGATGTTGAGCATTTTTTTTCATATGTTTGTTGGCCATTTGTTTATCTTCTTTTGAGAATTGTCTATTCATGTCCTTTGCCCATGTTTTGATGAGGTTATTTGTTTTTGCAATTGCAGAAATACGAACCAGCCTAAATGCCCATTCACCAATGAATAGATAAAGAAGATGGGGAATATATACACCATAGAATACCACTCAGCCATAAAAACGAACAAAATAATGGCGTTTATAGCAACCCAAATGGAGTTGGAGATCATTATTTTAAGTGAAGTAACTCAGGGATGGAAAATCAAATATCACATGTCCTCAGTTATTAGTGGGAGCTAAGCTATGAGAACATAAAGGTATAAGAATGATACGATGGACTTTGGAGACTCGGGGGGAAGGGGCTGAGGGAGCTGAGGGATAAAAGGCTATACATTGGGTACACTGAACACTTCTTGGGTGACAGATACACCAAAATCTCAGAAATTAGAACCAAAGAACTTATCTATGTAACAGAAAACACCTGTTCCCCCAAACTAATGAAATTATATATATATGTATATATATATGTGCATACATATATATATACACATGTATATACACACACACACACATATATATATAGCAATGGTAAACACAGAGGTACTCTTGGAATGTGGATTGGAAAAACAGTATATATAGAATCTATGCTGATGCTTTAATTTTAATTTATTTTATTCTCATTAAAATGTATTCAGCATTGTCAGGATGAAAATGTAAGGTACACGACTAAGCAAGATTTTCTATTTATCTCTTCAGCTGCTAATTACAGCACATTCTCTCTCTCACTATAATTTTATGAAGTGTTCACAACTATTACTTTCAAGAATTAAGAAATATTTCACATTTCCAGGCCAAAAAATTTACCACAGACAAAGCTCTGTTTTAATTATGTAAGCTATTTGTTTTGGCTTTAAGTTCCAATTTCTTCACTGCAATTTTTATAATGCCAGAAACATTTTTATATTCCTTTCATCTTGGTGAAATATTTTGCTATGATTATGGCTTAACTATAGCAATTGTAAAAGTAATTCAAAAAGGCCAATGTATCATAGTACACATTCATATCATTCATATATATGTCTCTCTCTCTCTCTCTCTCTCTCTCTCTCTCTCTCTCTCTCTATATATATATATATATATATATACACACACATATATATATATAGACACTGAGACTGCCAGGGCTTTATTTTCAGTTCTGGAACTAATATGCACAAAAATAAATGTCACAGATTTTTTTTAATTTCAAATGAATTTTCAATCTACCTATTGTCCTAAGCATTTATTTTCTTATTTTAAGGTATTACTTTTTCTAAGTCAGTTAATAGCAAACACATAAAAAAGGCTTAAATCTAAAAAGTAGGACTATATATATAAACAACTTTGGGTTTCAAAATAACAAGAAAAATTTTATAAGTAATCTACCAAATATTATTTTATAATGGGGAGCATCTATTTTAGTCCATATATTTAACCACTCTTTGTGCAAATCCCTATTCAGTCAAGCATAAACAATATTTGAAAACACTGTTTGATATTTATGTTAACTTCCCATAAGCATTCTCTGGTGGCTAGATGAAAAAAAAAATAGTTTAAAAAAAAACCAGCAAGAAGAAAAAGAAGAAAAGTCAACATCTTGAGCTAATGGACATCATGATACAGATTTGTATGAGTCAAATACTTGTTGGTTGCTTGGACTATGTATGGCCTTTTAATTTATATAAATTGTTTTCTGTAACTACCATTAAGTAAGTCAAAGATCATGGTGAGATTTTCTACTCAATCATTTTGTTTTATCAAAAAACTCTTTAGCAAATAACTGGCTTTACAGTTTGTACAGTTATATTTATAAAATAATGTAAAATTAAATGAAAATGTGAGAAAATAAAAATAAAGAAAAATAACTAGATATTTTACTGACCCTTATTTTATTTTTTTAAAGCTAAGCATAGTTTTATTTTAGAACTGTTGACTTGCAGCCAATCAACAGTCATTCAGACATATAGCATGGGCAAGAAATGCATCTTTTCTGTGTTGAGCCACTGAGATGCTCAGTCAGTAGGGTTAATGGGCCCATCGAAATCACCCTAATACCTAAACAAGTACCAAGAGTGGGATCCTGCTACAATTAAAACAAAAATAGTTGTCAACGCCTTAGCAGTCAGGCAGCTGGTGTCAAGGAAATACTATTGGAGGCTGGCAAGGTGATATTCCATGTTATGCAGTGGTAAAATATTTGATAAACCTTACTTGTAATAAATTGGGAGGCAAATTATATGCCTAGTACTTAGCAAATCACAACAAATGTTAGGTGCACACGTGTGTGTATGTGTGTGTTATAAAACACTATAATTTATTTGAGAAGAGAATTTAACATGAGTGATAGAAGTATCACCAACTACCAATAAAGGTTTACATAAGCAATACTAATATAAATTTTTCCATTAAATACTTTCAAGCTAGTTGTTAAAATATGAGACTATATAGCTTTGCTTATGTTTTTAAACTATTTAAAAATTAAAAGAAAATATAGAAATGGCCCCCAGTTATAAGTGGGAGCTAAGCTATGTTTTCAAATGTGAAAAAATGCTCAATCTCACTAATGACCAGGGAAACGCCAATCAAAACCAAAAATGCAATACCACCTTACTCTGGCAATAATGGCCATAACCAAAAAAAAAAAAAAAAATAGATGTTGGCATGGATGTGGTGAAATGGGAACACCTCTACACTGCTGGTAGTAATGTAAACTAGCACAACCACTATGGAAAACAGTGTGGAGAGCCCTTAAAGAACTAAAAGTAGAATTACCATTTGATCCAGCAATCACACTGTTGGGTATCTACCCAGAGGAAAAGAAGCCATTATACAAAAAAGATACTTGCACACGCATGCTTATAGCAGCACAATTTGCAATTGCAGAAATATGGAACGAGCCCAAATGCCCATCAATCGATGAGTGGATAAAAAAACTGTGGGATATATACATGATGGGATACTACTCAGCCATAAAAGAAAAAAAAATGTGAATTAATGGCATTCACAGCAACCTGGATGGGATTGGAGATTATCACTCCAAGTGAAGTAATTCAGGGATGAGAAACCAAACATTGTATGTTCTCACTCATAAGCGAGAACTCAACTATGAGGATGCAAAGACATAAGAATGATACAATGGACTTTGAGGACTCAGGGGGAAAGGGTGGGAAGAGCATGAGGGATAAAACGCTACAAATTGGGTACAGTGTATACTGCTTGGGTCATGGGTGCACCAAAATCTCACAAATCACCACTAAAGAACTTACTCATGCAACCAAATACTACCTGCCCCCAAAAACCTATAGAAATTTTTTTTAAAAAAACTGTACCACCAAACAACTATTTAAAAATGATTCATGTCCACTTCCAAGTCGTTCTAGTAATAACAATAGCAGTCAATGCATACTCAATTTCAAAGGAATTCCTCACTAGTATATTAAAATCTTTATGATAACCCTGTGATTTATGTTTATCCCCATTTTTCCAGATACATTTCTGAGGTATAGAAGGATTTTCAGATTTGACCAAAGTAAAACAATTAGCAAAGATGAAGAATAAATTAAAATCATACAGTTCAATTTAAAAGTAAGATGTGTTTCTGTATTACATAAAGCCAAAATCCATCTAATGAAAAGCTATGAAGAAATAGAAATGGTTTGATTAACATCAGAAAGAAAGCCTGTGTGTCTCTCTCATGATGATGCCATGGTTTATAGAATTCCCAGAACAACTATCACCAAGGCCAGTAGGGGAGAGAGAGAGCAATATGCTATTACTGATTTATTGTGAATCACAAAATCTACAAATATATATTATTTTGTGAATAAGTGCATACTGCTTTATATTGTTAACCTGTACCAGATTAGAATCTGAGAATATCAGCAATGAGATGGATTATGCTTTTGCAGAGAAAGAGTAAAGAAAGAAGATACAAGAAACTTACAACTACCAAGGATACTGAACATATTAGTCTAGCAAACTGTTTAAACATGCAGTTTTAAAGACAGCCTGAGAGATATTAGAAACACTACTTATTTATTTATTTATTTATTTTGAGATAGAGTCTCGCTCTGTCGCCCAGGCTGGAATGCAGTAGCACGATCTCAGCTCACTGGAACCTCCGCCTCCCGGGTTCAAGCAATTCTCCTGTCTCAGCCTCCTGAGTAGCTGGAATTACAGGTGCCTGCCACCACGCCCAGCTAATTTTTGTATTTTTAGTAGTGGCGGGGTTTTACCATGTTGGTCAGACTGGTCTCGAACTCCTGACCTCGTGATCTGCCTGCCTTGGACTCCCAAAGTGCTGGGATTACAGGCGTGAGCCACTGCGCCCGACCAACACTACTTTTTTTATAGGTTTGCCATGAAAAGTCTCTGGTATCATTTAGTACTATGTCACATTACAACTTTAGAGGAAAAGGCAGCCTTGGTATTCAGTTGAGAAGTGTAGCTGTGTTGCTGATAAGCAAGTTACTGAAGCCTGAACTGTAAATATTTTGTTTTGACTTATAAAGAATAAAATTATCTTACAAGATTGTTGTGAAAATTGAGTGTATAAGGAGTGGGTACTTAGTATGGGCATACTTTGAAGACATTGTGGGTTCGACTCCATATCACCCCAATAAAGCAAATATCGTGATGATGCAAGTCACATACATTTTTGGTTTCTTAGTGCGTTTAAAAGTCATGCTGACGCTAAAGAGCTTCTGCACAGCAAAAGAAACTATGAGCAGAGTGAACAGATAACCTACAGAATTGGAAAAAATTTTTGCAATCTCTCCATCAGACAAAGAGCTAATATCCAGAATCATCAGACTAAAGGCTAATATCCAGAATCTACAAAGAACTTAAACAAATTTACAAGAAAAAAACAAACAACCCCATCAAAAAGTGGTCAAAGGATATGAACAGATACTTCTCAAAAGAAGACATTTATGCGGTCAACAAACATATGAAAAAAAGCTCATCATCACTGGTCGTTAGAGAAATGCAAATCAAAACCACAATGAGATACCATCTCATACCAGTTAGAATGGTGATCATTAAAAAGTCAGGAAATAACAGATGCTGGAGAGGATGTGGAGAAACAGGAACACTTTTACACTGTTGGTGGGAGTGCAAATTAGTTCAACAACTGTGGAAGACACTGTGGTGATTCCTCAAGGATCTACAACCAGAAATATCATTTGACTCAGCAATCCCATTACTGGGTGTATATCCAAAGGATTATAAATCATCCTACTATAAAGACACATGCACACGTATGTTTATTGCAGCTCTATTCACAACAGCAAAGACTTGGAACCAACTCTAATGTCCATCAATGATAGACTGGATAAAGAAACTGTGGCACATATTCACCATGGAATACTATGCAACCATAAAAAAGGATGAGTTCATGTCCTTTGCAGGGACACAGATGAAGCTGGAAACCATGATTCTCAGCAAACTAACACGGGAACAGAAAATCAAACACTGCATGTTCTCACTCATTAGTGGGAGTTGAACAATGAGAACGCATGGACACAAGGAGGGGAACATCACATACTGGGGCCTGTCGGAGGGTGGGGGGCTAGGAGAGGGATAGCATTAGGAGAAATACCTAATGTATATGATGGGTTGATGGGTGTGGCAAACCACCATGGCATGTGTATACCTATGCAACAAACCTGCACGTTCTGCACATGTATCCCAGAACTTAAAGTATAATAAAAAAAAGTTATGTTTATATTATACTGTGGTCTACTAGTGTGCAACAGCATTACATCTAAAAAAAGTGGACATATCCTAATTAGAAAACACTTTATTGCCAAAAAATGCTAACAATCATCTGAGCCTTTAGTGAGTCTAAATGTTTTGCTGGTGGAGGAACTTGCCTTGCTATTACTAGCTGCTGACTGATCAGGGTGTTGGTTGCTGAATGTTGGGGTGGCTATGAAAATTTCAAAAATTAAGACGATGGATTTTGCCACATTGATTGACTTTTCCTTTGCAAAGTATTTATCTGTGGCATGTGATGCTGTTTGATAGCATTTTTCCCACAGTTGAACTTCTTTCAAGATTAGAGTCTACCCTTTCAAATTCCATGGGATGGTTAATATTGAGTGTCGACTTAATTTGATTGAAGGATGCAAGCTATTGATCCTGGATATGTCTGTGAGGGTGTTGTCAAAGGAGATTAACAGTTGAGTCAGTGGGCTGGGAAAGGTAGACCCACCCTTAATCTGGGGGGGGCACCATCTAATCAGCTGCCAGTGCTGCCAGAACATAAAGCAGGCAGAAAAACATAAAAAGGCTAGATTGGCTTAGCCTCCCAGCCTACATCTTTCTCCTGTGTTGGATGCTTCCTTCCCTTGAAAATCGGACTCCAAGTTCTTCAGCTTTGGGACTTGGACTGGCTTCCTTGCTCCTCAGCTTGCAGATGGCCTATGATGGGACCTTGTGATCGTGTGAGTTAATGCTACCTAATAAACTCCCTTTTATATATACATATATATCTCCTATTAGTTCTGTCCCTCTAGACTGACTAATACAATCTACCACTGCTTTATCAACCAACTTTATATAATATTCTAAATCCTTTGCTGTCATTTCAACAATGTTCACATCGTATTTACTGGGAGTAAATTCCATCTTTGCTCATCCATAAGAAGTAAATCCTTATCCACTTAGGTTTTATCATGAGAGTACAGCAATTCAGGAACTTCTGGAGACTCCACTTCTAATTTTAGTTATCTTTTTATTTCCACCACCTCTGCAGCTAATTCCTTCACTAAAGTCTCGAGCCACTCAAAGTCATTCATGAGGGTTGGAATCAACTTTTGAAAAAATAAGATTTGAAATACAAAATTATCCTTAACTCAAGGGCTGTACAATGAATGTTGTGCTGGCAGGCCTGAAAACATTATTCTCCTTGCACCTCTCCATCAGAGCTCTTGGGTAACCAGGTGCATTGTTAATGAGCAGGTATATTTTGACAGAAAATGTTGTTTCTTTAAGCAGTAGGTTTCAATCGTGGGCTTAAAAATATTGAGTAAACTGTGCTGCAAGCAGAGGTACTATCATCCAGGGTTTGTTGTTCCATTTGTAGAGCACAGTCAGCCTAACTCTTAAGGTCCTTAGGGTTTTCAGAAAGATACATGAGCACTGGCTTCATTTTAAAGCTGTCAGCTCCATCAGCCTCTAACAAAAGAGTCAGCCTGTCCTTTGAAGCTTTGAAGAGAGGCATCAGCTTCTCTCTGGCTCTAAAATTCCTAGACGCCATCTTCTTCCAATAGAAGGCTGTTTTGGCTACACTGAAAATTTGTTGTCTAGTGTGGCCAACTTCAGCAATGATCTCAGATACATCTTCTGGATAACCGGTTTGCTGTGATTTCTATAACAGCACTTGCTGCTTCAGCTTGCACTTTGATGTTATGGAGACAGTGTCTTTCCTTAAACCTCATGAACCAAACTCTGCTAACTTCAAAGTTTTCCTTTGCAATTTCCTCATCTCTCTCAGCCTTTATAGAACTGAAGGGAGTTACGGCCTTGCTCTGGAATTAGGCTTTGGCTCAAGGGAATGTTGTGGCTGCTCTGATCTATACAGACCATTAAAACTTTCTTCATATCAGCAATAAGGCTGTTTTGCTTTATCATTTGTGCATTCACTGGAGTAGCACTTTTAATTTCTTTCAAGAAGTTTTCCTTTGCATTCACAACTTGGATAACTGAACCAAGAGGCCTAGCTTTTGGCCTGTCTTGGCTATTGACATGCCTTCCTCATTAAGCTTAATCTTTTCTTGCTTTTGATTTATATTGAGAGATGTGTGACTCTTCCTTTAACTTGAGTACTTAGAGGTGACTATAGGATTATTAATTGCCATAATTTCAAAGTTGCTGTGTATCAGGGAGTATGGAGGCCTGCGGAAAAGGAGATAGATGGGGCAACAGCTAGTCGGTGGAGCAGCCAGAACACACACAACATTTATTGATTAACTTTGCTGTTTTATACTGACATGGTTCATGGCACTCCAAAAGAATTATGAGAGTAACATCAAAGATCACTGATCACAGATCACAATAACAGATACAATAATAATGAATTAATTTGAAATATTCTGAGATTTCCCAAAATGTGACCCAAACACATGAATTAGGCATATACTGCTGCAAAAATGATGCCAAAAATTTTTCATTTGGAAAAAAAAAATGCATTGTCTGCAAAGCACAATAACACAAAGTACAATAAAATAAGCTTTGTCTGTATAGAGCTTAGCTTCATAGTAGGAACCTGGAAAAGTTATATTATTATTGTGATGGCTGTTGCTGCTGCTATACATTAAGGAGCTGTTAGAAAATCACTGATTTTCAACATTGTAATCTTTGAGCTCAAATTGTTCATGTACAATTTCAGAACCTAGGCCGTAAATGTAATGCCCCATTCCCGAAAATTCTTAACTCACTGTGAAATGCAGATGTTAACACTATTTTCCTTAACAGGGAAAGCCAACTTACTTAGTCTCCATGAGAGAGGATATCAGAGTTAACTAGCTTACTCTGCATAACACCTCATAAATACCTCTTGCAAATCAACATGTCTCTTAAGACTTAAGTGAAAAATTCAAAATTGTCTTTCTAATCCTCAGTGTAAGAGAGTCATAGGATAGAAAAAGGCAGAAATGGCACATTGGTTTTAATTTTGATACCTTCAATAATTGATTGGTGGTGTCTGGCCAGAGAGCCTTCTGTGGAAGCTTCTGCTGCCCAGCCCTTCCAGTGTAAAGATGCCGTGATCAGTTAATAATGTTTGCCATAGAAAAAGAAAGCTAATAAGAATCCTCAGTGTTTGTTTAAGGAGTTCATTACTAATGCAGAAATGTTGCTTGGAAATAAGAGAACCAAAGAAAATGACTTCCCCTCTTGATCCTGTTATTATTAATAAACAAGATAACTATTGGGTTCCTACCAGACATCTAAAAGAGCACCTACCATTAAACAATGAAAGGCATCTCTACACTAACTTGCTTGCCTGACAACTATGTCCATGGTATATTCTGAAAGATGGGTTAAAATCTTCACCAACGTGACGTTAGAACAACTTAAATCTTTTTAAAAAAATTTTATCTGTAACTTAGTAATAATACCTCTAAGTTTTCTTTGGGGGTTTAGTGACAATGTATAGCATACTGTCAGACACGCAAAAAGAACTCCTTATATGGTTACAATTATCATAATGAATATTAAAGAGAATCTTGGTGTGTGTTTGGAGGGGGAGTATGTATAGGTTTTGTTTTGGTTGCTTGTCTGTTTCTTGCACTCCTTAGCCAAAAGTAAATTTTTTAGTTATGACCTAAGGAATTAGAGTTGAGACTTAGGGAGTAATTTAAGTGTTTCACTGAACAATCGTCTATGAGGCAGACTTAAGCCATAAGGACATCCTCCATCGTGTACTTATTTGAGGCAATAGCTGTAAGAAACGTCAGCTTGGCTGCGCAGTGGCTCATGTCTGTATTCCCAGCACTTTCGGAGGCCAAGGTGGGTGGATCACCAGAGGCCAGGAGTTCGAGATCAGCCTGGCTAACATGGTGAAATCCCATCTCTGCTAAATATACAAAATTAGCTGGGTGTGTTGGCATGCACCTGTAACCCCAACTATTCAGGAGGCAGAGGCAGGACAATCGCTTGAATCAGGGAGGTGGAGGTTGCAGTGAGCTGGGATTGCACCACTGCACTCCAGCCTGGTCAACAGAGTGAGACTCGGTCTCCACACCCACCACCCCCACCAAAAAAACAAACAAAAAAAAACTGTCAACTTTAAGATAAATTGGAGAATTTCCAGAAATGCCATCACAACCTTAGCTTTGAAATGAGTAAGGCAACTTGATTTTAAAACAGAATTATATTGTTGTAAATGCATCTGTACCACAAATAATTGCCTATCTTTAGTTCTTTTAGTTTTTGTAAATTGAAAGGAAGAGATCTGTACTCAGTAACTCAGATGGAAAATACTTGAAAAAATCAATAAATGAGGCAAAGTCCTCTTTATTATTTTTACCATTCACATCATTACGTCTATTGTCCCACTCCCTTGGTATATGCAGATTTTTGTGTCCCAGTAAACTATATCCAGCTCATATTATTCTTACAAAGGTAAGTCCAATTCTCTGAACTTCCTTGCACAGAGGTTTTCTAAAGCAATTTTCCTTTCCCTTTGGATATTTAAGAGGTCACACTGAGAACGAAATCAGCAAGTGCACAATGAAAGCTAAAAAACAAGGTTAAAAACAAAAACCTAAGCATTTTCATGTTAAATGAGAAAGAAGTTGGATAAAAGTTAATAGAGTCTAAAGATCATGTTCTTATCCCAGAGAGATCATAAATTTACCCTTCAAGGCAGCAAGGAGGTCCCAGTTTAGACTTTGAAGCAAGAGCCGACTTTCATGTCAAGGTCACCTTCTCTCCAATGATCAACTTTTAGAATAAACAAGACCGTGATAGAAACAAAAAGACTACTAAAGTATAAGCATGCGTGGGTGCTTATATGTATTAAGTAGGACTTAAAAAAGACCTGAATTAGTGATTACTCTGCAGGAATGAGAAAGAATTATATATTTCAGAACAGTTTTTTTTAAACAACAAGCATGTATGTTCAGGAAAAACAATAAAACTGGTTTAGGAAATGTAAGTGCATGCATACACAGCTACCTGCGAATCCAGTGTGCATGGTGAGAAGGTGGCACGCCGTATTAACTGCTATTCTTCTTGCCTTCAAATGTTCCCCAGTAACTCACAGACTAGAGTACAGAAAACTGCTATTGAGAATCAAAATTATAAAATTTTCAGGGCCAGTTTAGTAAAATCTAGCTATTGACCTGAGAATCCTTTGTACAAGGGAAGAAAGGTCAACCAACACGTTTATTAGTCTTTACCTTCTACAGCAGTGCTTTATAAATTGTGAAACGTGACGCATGCAAAGGTTAAGGTTATCTAATCAGTTTTGTGGGTCACGAAACAAGCAAGTTAAACACTGATAGTACTGGATAGAAGAAGAAAAGGAAACATAGTGCAGGGTATATAAAATAGGTGAATGCTGAGTTTACTATTATTATTTCAGGTATGTGATGTGTGAGAAAAGGAGAGAGAGGGAGAGAGAGCCAACTTGATTGTAATGCAAAAATTATTTCTAAGTGTGGGCTGCAGAAAAAATATAATAAACACAGATCTATAAAACTTGGGAATAAGTGAATTTGAGGGAATACAACCACTTCTTCATCATTATTCTATTGCTTATTAAAATGTCCCTTTCTTCAAGATAAAGGTACCTTGAAAAGCATTTCCCCCACTACCTCCATTTAACTTCCTACTGTTTTGAAGGCTGATTTATCTCTTAGTTCTAGAACTTTCTAAGCTTTAAATCCACCTGATACTACTGGGCAGAAGAAGGGCTAAGGGAGAGACAGGTGAGCAGAAATGGGGTATGTGTGTGGAAGATGGGGAAAAGCCTGCATCCCACATTTGGTGTGGCAAAGGTGAGTGAGTTTTCCATGAGTGAAAAGGATGCTGTGGAAATTCTATGGAGTATCATCCTGTCCACGCCCACAAGAGGGCTACAAACTTGAGTAGAAATTTTTATTGTGGCAGACTCTGCTGTCAATTTTTCTTTGCAGAGACTAAGTGCTCATTCCAGGAAACTCTAGGGGAGACCCAGAGTCCCTAAGAAAAACTATCCAATGGATCCCAGAGTGAACTCCCATTTGAATGTCCTCTATAAAGTAGAACCACCAGGGGGAAAGCAAGGAGCACATGAAGGCGATGGGAAAAGAACAGGTCTTCTCCAGCTCCAAATGATGCCTATGGAGTCAAGTCTTTTCTGAACCAGGGAAAGACTGGAAGGGAGAAAGAGGTCTTATAATCACACACGGGACTGCATTCTTAGACTGCATTCTAGAACCATGTCTTAAAAAACTAGATAAGACTTTTAAAATAACCCAAAGTGCCTGAAATGACATGAAATCAGACGGTTTTCTTTCGGGAAGCACAGTGGGAACAGTTCTTGGATAAGATATTATCATATACCTAGCCTCCCTTGAACTGCATGTAATAAACACACACACACACACACACACACACACTCAATATACCTACACAATTGCAAAACTTCTCTAATTTAGATGAAAGATCATTCTATTTTATATAACAGAATAAATTACTTCATTGTAAGCCTTTAAAATATGACATGGTGGTCACTAATTTGCTGTCACTTTAAGTCCATTCAAAAACAGTCAATCTACAGTCAAGATTAAGATGACGATAGACACTATCGATAAAGTTGCTAGGAGTTTATATTTAGTTCTCAACTCTAGTCCTTATTAGCTATTGCAAGTGATTAAGGTATTTTTTTACTGAGCTTCAAACTGCCCCATACATGAAATGGAATTAAAATACTTGCATCTCGGGGTAGTTGTTCTAAGAACATAATAATAACATACACAGAACACTTAGCACCAAGGCTGGCACATGTTAACTACTGAATAAACAGCAGCTGTTATTATGATTACCAGAAAATATTAATGTTTATAAAGATTAAGAGTTCAAAATAAGTGTATTCATTGACTTCATTCAATATGTATTTTGGGAACTTGTCATGTGCAGTGATTACAAAAGGAAATGAAATCAGCTCCCTTGCCTTGTGTGAGGATAATGCAGAATGCATACGAGCACTCATATATGGCAGAATTTTTTTTCCAGTGGCTATATGACAACTCTATACATGTTCAGAAGAGTAAGAAAGCACACAGCAAGGGAAATCAGAAGGCACAAGGAAGTAGTGAAATCAAAACTGAAGATTGAAGCATGTATAAGTTCAAAACCTATGGTCAGTGAAACATTGTAAGCAAAATAATTAAACAGAAAGGTGACCAGCCTATCATATTATCATCCCCAAGTTTGCTAAGTGCCTTCTCCCCCATACCCAGCTTTTATGTATCATATTCAAAGCACCTAAAAACCTTTTTTTTTTTCCAGAAAAATGGTGAAGCTCAGAACATTTCTCTTAGTAGTAACTATAAGCTTAACTCAAGTTTCTGAGAACAGAAATCACACTTTTAATGCTTCCTCTTAAAGGGCCGGAGTTCAGTCATGCTGGAGTAGAGACCCAGGCTAGAATGTTACAGGGGAGCCTTCCGATGCCAAGGTGGAAAGTGTGTCTCAGTTCAGTGCATGCCATTAACTTGTTTGGAACAATACAATGGACTAGGCAGTTAGAAGGCTTGTGCCAGCCAAAGTACGTCCTCTTGATTCGAGACGAATGAGAAAGGCTGGAGAGGAAGGGGCTTATGTGGAAGCACATGCAGGAGTCTACACCAGTGATTTCTTTAGGGGGCATAAAACTCACCCACAAAAGTTGGTGCAAATCCACAGGCCCAGGCCCTATTCTAATTTGTGCTCATTACTGATTCTCCAGATGACTCTCATATCCTCTAAGGTGTGAGAAGTACTGGCCTGACAAGAGATAAGGTGGAGCTGATCCCAAATACTGTGGTGGGAGCATAGAGGGAGGGAAATGGTGAGAGTCACAGAAAAGAGTGAACCACAAGACTGGATTTCTTTCATATATCGCTACTTCTTGATTAAAATACTTGGGGGCTAACGCTTGTTACAAACAGACATATAGAAAATTATTTTTGGTGAGATTCATTGCATCCCAGTGATGTTATAGGCGAAATTATTTTGTATTGAAACTAGGGATCCTTGTATCTATTTAAACTTTTCTATTCACTAACCATTTAAGAGATGAATTTCTTCTCCAGAAAAATAAGGTACTTGGACTAAGATGACTTCTAAGACCCCTTCTAATTTTTAATGTAGGTACAACTTGTATGAAAAAGACCTTAAGTATTAATATGAATCAAACTGTAAAGTATGTGCTTTAAATTCTTCATAGCAAAATGTAAGGGATGCAATTTGTAAATGTTCATTAGCATATGTACCTTAAGATAAACATAGATGTTTATAAATAGAATGCATGCTATTATACTTTCATATATCATGGAATAAAGTAAAAGAATATGGACATTCGTGTTTTAAACAAATGAGTTAGAATTTTTTAGGCTTCATAACTTAGATTAATAATTATATTTAATTCATTTTTTTAATCTATAATACCAGACTATTTTTTTTCTACTACAGAATTTGAAATATCTTAGTTTTAACCCTACTTAAAACACAGTTATGCAGGATAACAAAAGTAGGGAACTCCAGGGAAGAATGTAATCTAGTTCAAATAATGAAATATATTTTTCTTTCCTCTTTTTTTTCTTTTTGATGTCTTGAACACTGAAGTGTGTTTTCTTATCTGTACTCCATAGGTTCACCTTGCTTCCCCTAACTCACTTAACTAAATTAGCTAATTTTGGCTTTACTTTTAAAATTTCCAACTATGGTGTGCCAGAAGTTCTCAATCTTTGAGATTGATATTGCAGATATTAGAGACTGAAAAAATTTGTAATTACTTTCCAGCAAACTATGAGCCATGTTAGAATACTATGGATTTTTCTTCCTTATACGTGTCTGTTGTTTCCAATTTTTCATAATTAATTTTTTTACCGGAAAAAGCATACCAAAAAATACAACAAATAAATCATTAACATATCTCTAGAATTTTAATAGAATATTTTCTAAAGCAATTCATTTTTCATTAAATGCAATACTTATTACAATTGAAATGTTTACAAATAATTTAATAAATAAAAAGCTCTTCAATTAGAAAGTCTACAATCATAACAACTCATTGGAAAAGTTCTAAAATAAAATAAAAGTAGATACAACAGCAACTAGTTAAAATGTTAATATAATCCTAGTGTTCATGGCAGAAATACTACCTACAAAATGAAAATAAAGTAGGAAGTCCTAGCTAAATCAATCAGACAAGAGAAAGAACTGAAGGGCATTCAACTTGGAAAGAAAAAAGTCAAATCATCTTTGCAGATGATATAATCTTATATTTGGAAAAACCTAAAGACTCCACCAAGGACTATTCAAACTAATAAACAAATTCAGTAAAGCTGCAAGACATAAAATCAACATTAAAATAGCCATTTCTATATGCCCAGAATAAACAATCTGAAAAAGAAATCAAGAAAGTAATCCCATTTACAATAGCCGGAAATAAAATAAAATAGCTAGGAAGTAACAACAACAACAAAAAGAACAAACAATTTCTACAATAAAAACTGTAAAACATTGATAAAAGAAACTGAAGGAGACCCAAGAAAAATACAAAGATATTCCGTGTTCATGGGCTCGAAGAATCAATATTGTTAAAATGTCCACACTACTCAAAGGAATCTGGAGATTCAGTGCAATTCCTATCAAAATACGAATGCCATTCTTCACAGAAATAGGAAATACAATCCTAAAATTTACGTGGAATCACAAAAGACCCAGAATAGCCAAAGCTATCCTAAGCCAAAAAAAAAAAAGAAAGAAAAGAAAAGAAAAAATGGAGAAATTACATTACCAGACTTCAAATTATACTTCAGAGCTATAGTGAACAAACAACATGCTACTGGCATAAAAAGAAACATAGACCAATAGAATAGAATAGAATAGAATAGAATAGAATAGAATAGAATAGAATAGAATAGAATAGAATAGGAGAACTCAGAAACAAATTTATACATATACAGTGAATTCATTTTCGACAAAGGTCCTAAGAACAATCTCTTCAATAAATGATGATGGAGAAACTGGATATCCACATGCAGAATAAGACTAGATCTGTATATAAAAATCAAATAAACATGGATAAAAGACTAAAATCTAAGACCTCAAACTATGAAACTACTGTACAAAAACAAGAAACAAAAACCACTGAGGAATCAGGACATTGTAGTTGGCAAAGATTTCTTGAGTAATAATCAACAAGCATGCGCAACGAAAGCAAAGATGGACAAATGGAATCATATCAAGTTAAAAAGCTTCTGCACAGCAAAGGAAACAATCAACAAAGTGAAGAGACAACCTACAGAATGGGGGAACAGATTTTCAGACTATCCATCTGATAAGAGATTAATAACCAGATTACATAAGGAGCTCAAACAACTATATAGGGAAAAAGTCTAATAATGCAATTAAAAATGGGCGAAGATCTAATAGACACCTCTTAAAAGAAGACTACAAATGGCAAACAGGTGTATGAATAGATGCTCAACATCACTGATCATCAGAGATATGCAAATCAAAGCTACAATGAGATATCATCACATCCCAGTTAAAATGGCTTTTATTCAAAAGACAGGCAGTAATAAGTGCTGGCAAGGATATTTAGAAAAGGGGACCCTTGTACACTGTTGGTGGGAATGTAAATTAGTACAAGCACTATGGCAAACAGTTGGAGGTTCCTTAAAAGACTAAAAATAGAGCTATTATAAGATCCAGCAACCCCACCACCAAGTATACACCCAAAAGAAAGGAAATCAGTGTATCACAGGGATACCTGCACTTCTATGTTTATTGCAGCCCTATTCAAAATAGCCAAAATTTGGAAGCAACCTAAGTGTCCATCAACAGATGAGTGGATGAAGAAATTGTTGTACTTATACACAATGGAATACTATCCAGCCATATAAAAGTATGAGATCCTGTCATTTGCAACAACATGGATGGAACAGGAGGTCATTATGTTAAGTGGAATAAGTGTGGTGCAGAAAGACAAACTTCACATGTTCTTACTTATTTGTGGAAACTAAATTTTTTAAAAAAAAATTGAGCTTACAGAGATAGAGAGTAGAATGATGGTTACCAGAGGCTGGGAATGGTAGTGTGGTAGTGGCTGGAGGGGGGATTGAAGCGGGTTTTGTTAGTGGGTACAAAAATATAGTTAGATAGGGTGAATAAGATCTATATTTGATAGCAAAACAGGGTAACTACAGTAACAATAATCTATTCTATATTTTAAAATAACTAAAAGAGTATAATTTTATAGTCTGTAACACAAAGAAAGGGTAAATGCTTAAGGTGCTGGACACCCCATTTACCCTGATATGACTGGTATGCATTGTATTCCTGTATCAAGCATCTCCTGTACCCCATGTATAGGGCCGGGTGCAGTGGCTCACACCTGTAGTCCCAGTACTTTGGTAGGCCAAGACACACAGACCACTTGAGCCCAGTAGTTTAACACCAGTCTGTCAATTTTGCAAAACCCCATGTCAACAACAACAACAAAAAATATATGTATAAATACACAAAAAAATCAGCAAGGCATAATAGTGCACACCTGTAGTCCCAACCACTCAGGAGGCCGTAGCAGGAGAATTGGTTGAGTCCAGGGTGGTCCAGGCTGCAGAGAGCCACGATCACACTACTGCACTCTAGCCTGGGTGACAGACTACCACCCTGTCTCCAAAAAAAAAAAAAAGGAAAAAAAAGAAATCGGATGTATCTCATAAATATATACAACTATTATGTACCCACAAAATTAATATAAATAAATAATTAATTTTGAAAAAAGAGAATAAAAAGAAAGCATAAAATGGCTGAACAAACTATGGCATATCCATATAATGGGATACTATTCTGCATTAAAAGAAAACAGAGACTGATACACACACCACAGCATGCACGAATCTCAAATGCATTAGATGAACTTTGGAAACCAATCCTGAAAGGCTACATATTGTCTGATTTTATTTATATAACAATCTGCTAAAGCAAAACTATCTGAACAAAAAACATATTGGCGCCTACCAAAGAGTGAGAGTCAAGGAAAGGTGACTAAAGTGGGGCAAGAGGGAGTTTGGGCTAACTATTCTGTATCCTAATAGTGGCAGCAGATATATATAGCTGCCAAAACTCAGAACTGTTCACTAAGAAGGATGAACTTCACTGTATGCAAATTACATTTCAATGAAGTTGACAACAGAAAAAAGAAAAAGAGAGTAAAAGAAAGTTTAAATTTCAACTGGAAGAATCAGTTTCTTTACTGAAAGATGAAGACTATTCATACATGATTTAATGTACTCTGAAAATGGACCTCACTATGAGAAAAAAATTATTGCTAAAATTAGTAGAGTCTGTAAGTCCCTAGAATCTCCCATATTCACATAATTGTCTTTTCAGAACATTTCATTTTATGTACCTTGAGAGGGAAGGATACATGCAATTTGAATAAGACTAAGCAACAATTTAAAATCAAATCTTGAGAAGATTGGTCCCACGCAAATATCTTGATGTTAGGTTGATGAAAGATGCAATATCTGTCTTTATTTTTAGCCTAAGAGAACAACCTACAAACATAGCTATTTATATGGAATTTTTAGATTTTAATACAAAAATGAGATTTGTTTGATGTCTGTACTCAATAAATGTGCCTTGGTTCAGTGATTTCTGTGTTTTGTTTTGTTTTACTTGAAATCTGTAGTTCTTCCGAAATGAATGCAACCATATGCCTCATGGAAATCTTCATTTATTACAATTGGTTATACAAATGTAAGTCCCTTAACAACACGCAAAATCTGAGATCCAAACAAGTAATCTGAAACAAGAAACTTTGCTCTGAAATCAATTTTCTCCATCCACATATTTAATTAAATTGTGCTTCCTCTGACTACTGCTGGAAATACCAAATTGATGTAACTATAGTAAGTAGTCAAAATAAACATTTTACTAAACACTGTTATACATAGAAGTGCTCAATAAAGTGTCATTTTTAAAGTATTAAGTATTTCATAGCTGAATAAGATTACCTGACACAATATGACATTACAGTTCAAAGATTTTGTTCACGGCTAAGTTTTACTTGACTATGTGGATAACTGACAGTGTGCTTACAAATATTAAATTCAAAAATATGAGTTTACTATGTCTCAAATGAATTTCATGGAAACATGGAATAAAGCCACATTATGACTAAGTGGCAACTTTTCTGACCAAGAATGGAAGCAGATCTTATCGCTTCTTTTTCTCAAAGCATCTTTGTAGAAATATATCAGCAGCCAAAAATGAGTTCGGAATACATTTACTCACACGTACAACTCATTAGCACATAATATCTAGAACTATAGGTAATTAAGTTTCTTAATAAAGAACATATCAAACAGAGCATGATAAACTGAACTGTAATAGAAGATAATCCCTAGACAGTCGAGCTCACCCACTATGAGAATGTTGCCAGACATATCATCATGACAACAAAATCTGCAATCCAGACTAATGAGAACAGCATTCTAAGTGACAAGCATTTAGCATGTGCAGCCTGTATGTTAAAGTATAAGTAAAATTGAATTTAAGTTCTGTTGACAACTTCTGATAACAGCTAACATTACTGTCCAAAAAATATTTAAAAATTAGAGTTTTGATGGAAATGATACTGCTAGTGAGTAATAAAAGGTAGCGCCAAACTGAGTGGGGTAAACAGTGCAAAATGAGAGGAGAAAAGCCTTTTGATCCAGACACAAAACCCCGGGTCCATCTTGGTTCTCTTCTCCTCTACCCTTTGCCATATACAATAAACTTTTTCTTCTCAATTGAAAAAAAAAATCTTTTTCAATTTTTTTCCCACAAAAATCAATATATGCTGATTAAAGTAAAACAAAAATACAAATAAAGAAAACTAGCACAAAGAATACCTATAATTATAACAGAGAAATAATTACTATTAATACTTGATTTATTATGTTCATCTCTATTCATTCATGTATGTCCCTAGGAAACTTCATTGATACCCATAGTTCTAATTCCTAACTACCCATAGATGATTGGCAAATCTATCCCCAGCTCAGTAAACTTCCCTGAGTTCCAGATATACATGCATACACACACACACACACACGCACACACACACACACACATTCATGCGGTTTGACTTCAATATATAAGTGTTTCGAAGCACTCAATAAGAAAAAAAAAGAACACACTCATAGTCATCGGGCCCTTTGTTCAGTGCTGCCTATCTCAAGGCAGGTTGTCATCCTCCACACAGACCTGAGATCGGCCTCTCACGTTGCACCCCAGCAGGTCCATTATGGAGTACCATGCAATTTCACCTGTTCTGCGTCTCTG
This sequence comes from Homo sapiens, assembly GCF_000001405.40. NCBI lineage: Eukaryota > Metazoa > Chordata > Mammalia > Primates > Hominidae > Homo > Homo sapiens. The sequence goes on along the minus strand of NC_000002.12, from coordinate 115,225,282 downwards.
CAACCTGTCTTCTTCCCTCCATCTCTAATCTTCCCTCTTGGAGCGAGCTATCATGACCTCTCCTCTGCATTATTTAATAGCTTTCTCGCTGGCCTCCTTTACTTTCTCTTTCTCTCCACTTGAATATTCCTCCCCACAAATGCCTTAAGAATTTATCAAAAAAATGGCAACTTGCCAATGCTTGTTATCTTATTTTAGGATAAAAATCAAAATCCAGAACATTTAAAATAGACCTATGGACTATCTCCTACCCAAAAGATGAGTGTAGCACAGTGATTGCTATTCAGTCTGGATTCAAACCCTAGCTCTGGCAGTACTGTGTGACATGGGTTTAGTTTCATCCTAGTGTACTTATCTGGAGAAATGCAAATGATACTCATACCTGTCTCAAAAGCTATTGAGAGTTCTTAGTGTGATCATTCTTAATGTTCAACATGCGGTAAGCATTCAATATTTGTCACCCAGCAATTTTATTTTTTAAAAAGACAAGAATTGGATATATTTATGGTATATAACATGATTTTAAAAAATAAATATACCTTGTATAACGCTAAATTTAACAAATTACAATTATATTATCTCACATGATTATTGTGTGTATGTGATGAGAACACTTAAAAATTACTGTTAGTGATTTTCAAATATATAATACATTGTTATTAACTACAATCACCATGTTGTACAATTAATCTCTTGACTTTATTCCTCTAACTGAAATTTTATGTCCTTTGACGATCATCTCCCCAACCTCCCCACCTTCCCTCCAGCTCCAGGTATCCACCATTCTACTCACTGCTTCTGTGAATAATATCTCGCTTATATGAGGAAACTTAGAGAAACTCACCTAGCAAATTTTTAATATTCCTTTTTCTGATTCAACTTTATCCTACATTCACAGATTACTTTCTAACCTCCAGCCACAGAAATCTTATTTCAATTTCTAAGGAGCAAAAATCCATATGGTCATATGACCTTTTTTCTCCCCTCCCTTAAATTTTTACCCCCTAACTTTCACATAGTTAACTCAATTCTTTCATCCTTCAGATTTCAGGAAAGCCCATTCAAATCCCCAATTAGATCCAGACCCCACTTTGCACACTTCCTTAAGATGAGGCTTTTAAGAATGTTTTCACAGTTGTAACTTTACACTCACTAATCTGCATATGTACCTGATGACTGTTTTCTATTTAATAGACAATAAACTCAAAGCAGGACTACTTTGAGTTTATCATTGAACCTCTAGTACACATAATAGTGTCCAATGCCTAGAAGGGGCTAAATAAATTTTTATTGAATAATTTAAGTGTGATTTTGCAGCTTTGATATGAATAGATATAATTGAGTAACATCATTTTAATGGCTACATAATGTTCCAAAGTATTGATATATCATGATTTATTAAAACAAGACGTGTTGGTGAAAGGAAAGTTTGCTTCCAAATTCTATGACTCGTACTGATGTGATAAACATTCCAGGACATCTTTGTGCATGCTATTAATCATTTTCTTCGAAAAGATTCCAACTTTCCCCTTCAGTACTTTTTCCCATTAGTCTGGTCCCAACAGCTTTCCATTTTTCAGGGTTTCCTCCAACTTTCTAGCATATTGTTGCTGCTGGACTGCATTTTCGTTTACTCGTTCCTTTTTGTTGTTGTTTATTTCATATTTTTGTTTAATCATTTTCTTTACTTTCAGCTGAACATATCTTACACTCACATTATCCTGAACACAGTTTATTAAAACTATTAACTCCTTACAGCTCGCCAAACCAAATATGTCTTATCTAAATTTTAGTTTCCTATATATACTTTACAGTATGTACCTAGAACTACTAGTTAATCCATTCTTAGGAAATTTGTTAGATTCAGAATTTAAATTACTTGCCAAAGCCTCCATAAAGAGCAACTGACACAGCCATAATTAAACCTATGAATCCTAGCTCTTTCATTGGCAGAAAAATAGTAAATTAATCATTAATTGTTTTAATAAATAACCTGGTGGCACAGTGGCCTCAAAAACAAAATAGACATCCTTAAAATTAATGTTTTTAAGCAAAAGTTAAAACTTACTTGAGGGAAAAGCTAAAATAGCTCAACCCTCTTATTGCCGTCTTTACTCTTGTTAATACCTTCACATTGGTCTATTCTGAGTCCAAAAATAATGCACTGGCTTTCTTACTTAGCTGAGTCCTCAGCAAGGAAGCCCCAACCCCTAAGATACTAAAACACCATTCACAGATATATGTTATGAAACAATATTGCTACCAGATCTATTTGTATTAGTCAAAATCCATTTACAAATAGTCTTATAAATATTCATTACATTGATTATCCAATCCTAAGACCTTTGTTCTTTCGGTATGCTACTCAAAAGCAATCGGCAACTGATTTTTTTAATAATGCTCTTTAGAAAAAAAAGTCAGTGGAATTATAGACAATGTAATAAAAAGAGCCCCAAATTTGCAATAGGATATCTAGATACTAATGCTGACTCTTTAGGACAAATTTGGGCAAATTAATTAAATTTTATGACCATTTTATTTGCTTTTTTTTAATGCTGTTCATGAGATGAAGATGCACTAAAATGCTTTTGAATGTCTTCTACTCTAATAGTCAAAGATTACTGTATTTGTCCATTTTCATGCTGCTGATAAGGATATATCCCAGACTGGGCAATTTGCAAAAGAAAGAGGTTTGTTGGACTTACACTTTCATGTGGCTGGGGAAGCCTCACAATCATGGTAGAAGGTGAAGGTCATGTCTCACATGGCAGCAGACAAGAGAAGAGGGCTTGTGCAGGGAAACTCCTCTTTTTAAAACCAATGGATCTCATGAGACTTATGTATTATCAGGAAAGCAGCATGAGAAGACCTGCCCCATGATTCAATTACCTCCCAACATGTGAGAATTCAAGATGAAATGTGGGTGGGGACATGGCCAAATCATATCAATTATGATTCAAATCAAATTACCAATGAGAAGTCATGGCTGAACTGATTGAGCTAGAGATGCCTCTGGTTGGGTGAGCACAATGCTACTTGCTATGTTTCTCCCTATTTTAGTACCTTTGGGTGAGGTATACATTATCAAATTCATCTCCAGGCCCTCTTTACTCATTTACTCTAAAGATATTAGAGTTCTTCCCCCGTAAGTGGTACCACGCTTCATAATCAGCATGCCTGTGTTGCTAAACCTGCTCTCCCCTGTGTTCCTAAATTCCTACTAACAAGAAATCTATCAGTGTACCCTTCCAATCAGCTAAATCAGATTCCTCTGGTGAAAAAACTCTCCAAATCCTAGAGTTTAAGTAACATTGCTTACTCACACTTAGCATTTTCACTAATCAGCTTCAAACAAATAGCTCCAAATGAACAGTTCAGGCAATCCTTTGATGCCCAATCTGGCTTTAAAAGCAGAAGTAACACAGAAATCAGCTGTCCATGTGGGGTTATTAGTTTTGCTTCCAGAAATATCTTATAGACCATGGTTTTCTCTTAGCTCATAGAAAAAAAAAAAAAAAAAAAAAAAAACAGAAACAAACATGAAAGCCTCAAAGGCTCTAATTTTGCCCAAGATGGCCAGGCTAATTGCCATGAAAAAATCTCTTCTAGTGTCCATGATTGTATTGAATAATGCTACCAATCTTTTTCAAAGAGTCAGAGGCAGTGTAGAATAAACAAGTCCCATAAAATACTCTAAAGAAGAGGTCAGCCATCTATATAGGGCCAGATAGTAAATATTTTAGGCTTTGCGGACCATGTATAGTTACTGTCACATCCCCTTTTATTATTAACTCTCTTTTCTCTTACCTTGTAATGGTGCAGAAACCATCCTTAACTTATATTCAAAAATAGGCTGTTCCGCATGAGCCATGGTTTGCCGAACCCTGCTTTAGTGCATTTGAGTATAACGCAAAAGCAACAAACCTGAATTCCTACAGGGAACATATGCTAACACAAATGAGTGAAGTGAGCCAGGTGGGGACTACACTACCCTAAAGAGAACATTCTCATTTAAAGTACACCTAGATTTAGTCAATACATCTATGCATGAATATGAGCCTAACACAGCCAGATGGCTAATATTTCAAGAGAAAAAAATCTTAATTTCTTTGTGACGTACTTTAATTCAAAAATACTATGGACAAACTCTAACAACTGCAACATCTACAAAACACACACTCTGGGCAAAAAAAAAGTGGAAATATAAATGCAACAAATATTGCATTTGTACTGAATTGAACACTTTGTAACTTCTGATATAGTTAATATTTTTAATGTTTTATAATCAAAATACACTGATTACCATTTTGGCTTCGCCACTGATTATATAATATTTTAGTTACATATAAATATTATATATGAATATAAAAATAAATATGATATATGAATATATATGTATACATATGAAATAGAGAGCAAAAGGTATATGATAATTAAAAGTAAATTCTGTGAGCTATGTAGTGCAGTGCATGGCACAGCAGTAGCAAATTATTGTTGTATTTCCCTTTTGAACTTCTCAAGAATCATCAAAGGCACAGTAGTGATTTGTTTTGTTTTCAGCAATATCAACTAAATGAACTACAAGTTTAGGCAAGTCTAATAATTTCCAAAGTGTAAGTGACATGTCTGTCAAAGACTGGTTATATCTACACAATACATAATTGTCTGCAAACAAATGACTTTGTGGTACAATTTTTTCTGAATTTATTTTCCTTTTTTAAATTTTTATTTTTATAGAGATGGGGGTCTCACTCTGTTGCCCAGGCTGGTCTCAAACTCCTGGCCTCAAGTAATCCTCCCACCTCAGCCTCCCAAACCACTGGGATTACAGGTGTGAGACACCATGCTGACCCTGAATTTATTTTTCTTAGGATAGTATTAAACTCAAGGTATCTTTCGTAAGGTCACACGGAAGATCTACACGAGGTAACTAATTGGAAATATACTATTTTTTGTATCACTGTTTCACACTGACTCATAAAGACAGACTTCAGTCATGGCAATACAATACCTACAATTTTGATAGCTACCAACAATGAGTGTATAAAATGAAGCAGGTGATACAGAATAATGATTAAGAGCATAGACTTTGGTGTAGATAATCTGGTTTGGAACAGTAACTCTGCTCCAATACCAAGGAAAACAGGCAACTAAATCTCCCCATGTAAAAGGTTCTGTAACTCCAAAATAAGAATTTTATTTTTTATGAGGTTGAAGTAAAGATTAAGTTAGCTGACCCTTATAAAGATCACAGTAAGTGTTCAGTAAATGGTAGTAGTTTTTGTTATAATCACTGCCATCATCCTACCACAGCATGTAGTTGGGTGAATAACTGGCTCATACATTTCTAGTTGTTGATGACAGGTGATAAATTTGAATAAAATATTTAGCCATTCACATTTTTCCATGACAATTTTCCCTAGGCTAACATAAAAGCCAGGCAAGATAGTACTATTAAAGGGCATGATAATTAGTCAGCATATTTGCAGTCAGCTGCAATCAATTCAAAGCTCTCTGTGAGATGTTGGCTAGTCTTTTAACCTTTGGTTTCTCAAAGTGTGACTAACAATATTTAACATTATTTTATTCTCCTAATTATTAAGTTCTTTTGATCTTTATATTGAGAATTTAGGGTAATATACCAAGAAATACAAATATCTCTATGTTATGCACAATATATGATTAACATCATTTTGATGGTTGATAAGTACAGCACCTTTTATTGTTATAATTTCTGTCATTATTCTTTATGGAACAGCTTCCTGCTTTCAGCACCACGGACAAAGAAAGAACAGTAGTAAGAGTGGAGGTGTATACATATGTATTTGTATATGTGTGTTTGTGTGTGTGTATACACTTACGGAACAGAAGTAGGATGATTATGGAAAAGTATTTAGAGTCAGAGCTGGAAATCTTGAACCATGCTCATGATTCATGTACAAAAATTAAGTGTGTTCCTATTATGTAATGAATAGCAGGGAAATAAATGCAATATAATTTTGTTCATTTTCGAGAATTTTGGTCTAGAAATATAAATTGCTCAACCTCAGCCTCCAGGTATAGAGAGGTCAATGCAGACCTATGTTATGAGCATGTGTTTACCATCTTGGGATGAAAAATTAAAACCTATTTTCACTTTTTTAACATGTTATTTCATTCAAATGTAACTCTGAACTTTCTGTGCCTCTGTTTATTATTTATAAAATAAGGATAACCATAGTTACTTCAGATACTTTGATAAATAAGATAATGCATGCTATCTCTAAACAAAAGTTGTAGGGTGTAATAAGTACTCAGTGTGATGGGTATGAGGATGGGTATTTATGCATCTAACACTAATAGGTTAATTGAGTCTAATTCCAATGGGAACATATGATATTGGTCCCTCTTAGTAAAAATGTATTATAAAAACTACATTGACTTTCCTTCAATTAAAAACAATTAATTCAGTAATATTTTCTGTTCAAATTATGGTCAGAAAACCAATTACCACAAGGCTGATTAGTAGAGCCCATAAACATCAGAGAACCAAATGTTAGACATGGGAAATCAGTAGTATATCTTATTATAAGTCTTTCCAGTATACACTACTCTATAGAGGATTTTCCTGGTATGGAAAGAGAGCCACACATTTCACTCACAGCATTCTCAAAGAAAAAATTTTAAATGAAAGCTATAGCCTGATGCAATGAACTGGAATGGAACAGGATCTTGTTGAAGTACAAAATTTGACATGGAACCTCTCCTTTGAATCTATGTCAGTACGATGTTGGAAACCTTACAGCTTAAAAGAAATACATTTTTCCTAAGGCATAAATTTTATTCAAATGTCATGTTTTAAGGAAACCAACACAGAAGTAGGAGTAAGGAAATAAAGATTTTCTAGAAAATATAAGGATCCGGCAGAACTTTTTTGCAATACACTCATTAAAATCATAGGAAAAATATGTAACAAGAGATCACCCTTCAAGAAGAATCAAATCGTTGTTTCTTTCCTTTCCCAAAACCTCAAAACTACTTATCTCTTGAGTTCAATTTTTACAGCAAAGTTACAAGGGGATTAAAGAAGCATTTTATGTAGGCCATTGCAAAAATAAAAATTGTCCTTTTGAATATAAGTCAAGAAACTGTATTGAGAATGTACAGTCTATATACAATATTCAGTTCAGCTTAACACATGTTTACTGAATCCTAGTAAGGAACTAAGAACTCTCTGGCAAAACATTCATAATTGAGACACTGAAACCATGCTCATCCTTGAAAAGAATACAATCTCATGAGTAAGAGACAAAATCAGTTAATGACAGGAAAGGTCACATAACATATGACAAGTAGGTGAAGCAGAGCATGACGTGGGAGCATCTAAGCCTAGACTGGGGTCTGAGATAAGGCAATACTGGAGTTGAGTTTTGAAAAAGTAAGTGAATCAGACAAGTAAGTCAGGCAAGGGCAATTCTAGACAGAAGTAATCAATAACTACATGAGCAAAAGAAAAAAAAGATGTGAATCAGCAGTGTATTTTGGAAGACAAAATAATTTGGGCAAAGCAATCAGTACCAACCGCAATGGTGTGATTTTCCAAAAAGCTTAATTTTCATGTGCGGGAGATCAGATGCTTTAGAACAGGTGATGATGAAATTGAAGTAAAATAAGATCATATGTGTATCTGGCAAGTCCCACTGGTGGCATTTTGTAAAGAAGTGGCATACTTCATTTATTCACCCTAAATTAATTAAATATCTACTATGTTTCTGACATGTGCTAGCTTCTGAGGAAAGATCGATGCATAGCCAATTATTGCTATCTGTAAAGGAAGTAAAGCCATGAAGCAAATGATTAAAACAAAAATGCCAAACTCTTGAGTCAACGGTGATAATAACCATCATCCACGAAAACAGAATTAATATTGAATGAGCCTTATGTGGCGAGCACTCTTTAGGTGTTTACCATGTATGATGTCTTCTAGCACTCACAAAAAGGGTCATTTAGTATTATTAGAAAGCTATTATTTAATCCTTTTACAGATGAAGAAATTAAGATTTAAAGCCATTAGATAATTATCCTAAGTTCACACAGCTGGTAATTAGCAGACGTAGGATTCAAAACTAAAATGTTCAAAACCTATTCCTTACTCCTAATTATGAAGTGTCTTGGTAAAACTCTGGTGAAAACAATTATCTGTGAGAAGATGAGAAATTAATATGTGAATTAGGTCTTCTGGATGAATACCCACTTATCGGACAGATAAAAGGATAAGTCTAAAACACACAACACATATCTATTTGACGTGTGTGCTGTAATTAATCTTTTAAAATTGTAGTGTATACTTTTGATGTTAAGTTAGACAAATATACATAGACATATATACGTGTATATATGTGTATACGTATACACATATATACACGTATATGTCTATGTCCAAATACACATATATTTGTCTATATATGGGTGTGTATATATACATATATATAGCTTAGCTTTTGACCTTTTCTTTTTTTGAGACAGAGTCTCACTCCATTGCCCAGGCTGGAGTGCCATGGCACGATCCGGGCTCACGGCAACTTCCGCCTCCTGAGTTCAAGTGATTTTTCCTGCTTCAACCTCCTGAGTAGCTGTGATTATAGGTGCCCGCCAGCACACCTGGCTGATTTTTGTATTTTTAGTAGAGATGAGGTTTCACCATGTTGGCCAGGCTTCTCTCGAACTCCTGGCCTCAGGTGATCCACCTGCCTCGGCCTCCCAAAGTGCTTGGATTACAGGCACGAGCCACTGCACCCAGCCTTGACTTAGTTTTTGATTATGCTAAGTTAGACATATATATACATACACACTTACGTACATATGCGTTTATAAAATCAGTCACTGAAATGTTTGAAGTTCCATTATCTCTCCAGAGACCTTGGGAGATTCAAATTTTTCCATGTAAACATCAGCTGAAACAACATGTGGCCTACTTTTTTAATTAAATTTTTTTTCACTGTTATAGATTCAGGGTGTGCCAGCGCAGTTTTGTTACCGGGTTACATCGTGTAGTGGGGAAGCCTGGGCTTTTAGTGTAACCATCACCTGAATAGTGTACGTTGCACCCATTAGGTAATTTTTTCTCCCTCTTTCCTCCCATCCTCCCACCTTTCTGAGTCTCCAGTGTCTGTTACTCTACTCTTTCTGTCCATGTGTACACATTGTTTAGCGCCCACATATAAGTGAGAACATGTGATATTTGACTTCTGTTTCTGAGTTATCTCACTTAAGATAATGGCCTCCAGTTCCCTCCATGGTGCTGCAGAAGACATAATTTCATTCTCTTTTGGCTGAGTAGTATCCACGGTATGCATATACACCACATTTTCTTTATCCAGTCATCCTTTGATCAATATTTAGCACGATTCCATATATTTGCTATTGTGAATAGTAATGCAATACACATATGAATGGAGGTGTTTTTGATACCATGATTAGTTCTGTGGGGGTAGATACCCAGTAATAGGATTGCTGGATCATATTAGTTCTGTGGGGGTGGATACCCAGTAATGGGATTGCTGGATTATATGATAATTCTATTTTTGGTTATTTGAAAAAATCTGCATACTGTTTTCAATAGGGGTTGTATTAATACATATTCCCACCAATGATGTATATGTTCCCTTTTCTCCACATCTTTGCCCACTTCTGTAATTTTTCTCCATACTGTTTTCAATAGGGGTTGCATTAATACATATTCCCACCAATGATGTATATGTTCCCTTTTCTCCACATCTTTGCCCACTTCTGTAATTTTTGACTTAAATAATAATAGACATGTGAACTATTTTTAATACTAGACATGTGGCCTATTTAAAAACTTTAAAACTTAAAGTATTTCCATAAAATTCACAAATGCTCAAAATTATATGGCCTATTTTATTTTTTCTTTTTTGGTGTTAAAATCAGAACTTAATATGTTAATCATATTGGTCAAATAAATTTAAAAATTCATTATTGAAATAAGTTATAAGTTCCTGCTGGATAAAAACAAACAAAGATATTTCTTCATTTGGACAAATATCATAAGTTATGCTTTGAAACCACATAAATGGAAGCACAACGTATTTACCAGCCTACAGAATAATGCCAACACTTTTGTTCTAAGACAACTCTGGAAAATCAACATTGAAAATACCCACCAAACAGTCATTACCATATAGGTATGTCACAACGCAAATTACCTTGTATGAAGTAAAAATACAGATTTAAAAAACCAAACCTATTGGGTAATGGAGCAGGTTAAAATTTTTGTCCCTGTATTTCCCAATTTGTGTCCTATCAACAACAAAGACAGCAGTCTAGCTGCCAACAGGACAGCAAGCTCAGGAAAGGCAAGATGTGCTAGGATAAAAAAATGAGAGCCAAAGGCATTGTCAATTCGAGTGGATTGGGAAACCTGGGGGTCAAAGGAAGCAAGGGGCTCACAATTCTGTCAAGCAAGCAAGAACTCAGTTGGAAGAGAGGTATGGGAATGCCAGTGCCTGTGATGAGTTGATACAGAAAATCAGGCTAACTTTTACATTCCTTAGAGACAAAAGTCAATCTCACATTAAGAATGATATAAGATCATTGAGTGTTATTGAATAAAGGGAGAAGTCAGAAAAAAGGACAGATTCTGACAATTTCATACGGCTTTGAGACAAACACATGTTCAGTGACACAAGTAATTATTTCATATATAAAATGTATACCCCATGGCAATATTGATCAATATTTCCCTACCTGCTCCCTCTCAACATCGGCTGAAGTACAATTAATTGAAAATGATCTCAGTGTATCTTAACATCACCTCGGTTGATACAGATAATTTCAAAAGGCCATTTAAAATCCACAGAGTTTAACAATTTCATACCATGTATCAGAACCTAATGCTTAGACTTGGAAATGAAGTAACACTCTTGGGTAAGCTTAACCCCCAGACAGAAGGGACTCCTGCAATTGCAGCAGAATTAGAATAATAAAGCTTTTCATCAACTTGCTGAAAGCCAGAGTTGTCACTAAACTATCTTCATGGGATGTAGCTTTCATTCCTTACATTGACTTGGCACCCAGACCAAACCCCTATTCATTCCACATCCACAACTGCTCTCAGTTCTCAATTTGCATGGCACTCTCCAGGCCACTGGCCGCATTTGCCAGGATATTATGTTTCCTCCCCAGGACTGCTTCCCAACCCCAACCCACGAAAGGCTTGTTTCTCAAACACAGAATTTATCTACAAAACCAAAGTCTAAATATTAAAGATTTATAAAAATTATTTTACTCTAATTTTATGGGTTAAAAAAAGCATTTTTCTGATTTTTTCTATCCATAAATCCTGCCTCTATTTCCATAAAATAAACAGTGACTTAGGAACCTCAGTCAGTGTATAAATCTCTTAAATGTGCCTAAAAATCTACTGATTGTAGTAGGTACTGAAATAACAGTAGTCTAAGTACTATAGGCCTAAGCTTCTCATTATAGTACTTAGGAATCAGATACCTGCCAGTCATCTTGACATACTGTACACTGTAATGAATCATATTAGTATCATTTGGGATTAAGCATATGCATATTAGTAAACATAAATATTAACTGCAGTAATACAACTAAAAGCAAAATCAAGGAATGATCACAAGAAATTATAAACAATAATGTAGACCTATTCTCCCCTACTAGAAAGGCTCAAACAAAATTGCATAGAAAAATAGTGTCAGAGGAACAAATAAATAGAAAAGAAAAAGACTTTAGTCTAAAAAGAGCGAAGGTAAGCAGTATATGATCAGTCAGGATGGAGATAGATAAAGTAAACACACATTGTTCCATGAATACCTGATATAAGACAAAACCTGAAGGCTTAAGGATGAGTATTAATCACCATGGATGGGTGACATGGGGCAAAAATATGGGGAATTTCTTACAAGCAAGAGATTTGCAAAATGGTTCTCTAATACATTTGCATTTACAATCCCAGTTTTTTTCTAAATTAGTGCTATCCGAGAACACTGTTGCATCCTACTCTAAGGTATGTCTTTTACTCATTCTGAGACAAAATATGTAAAGTAAAAATGCAAGATATCCTCCTAGGGCAAGGGGAGATATACACCCCAGCTATCTCCAGTGAGTCCTCAGTGAAGACTTTCCTATAATTCTCTCAGAATTTTCTACTATCACAGTTTATAATCCTTTCAAATGTACATGTTATAGCCCTTACCAGGGTTATATTTAAGAACTCACGTAAAGAATAACAGCGTGATGAAAATTCAATATTAATGGGCAGGGCCAATCATGGAGTGGATCTCCATTTTGTGATTATATAAATGAACTATTTGTATGATCCTGAAAGAGAAGTAAAATAGACTCTTTCAACTCCATATGTGATAAACCAATGTGAATAACTATGCATTTCTCAAAGTGAAATAATGACATATTAAACTCATTTAAGACAGAGCATGCATAACCAGGCTACTTTAAGAATTTATGAACAAATATGCCCCAATATGTATATGTACACATATACTGATGCAAGTTATGCTATAATAAAATATGTCAAGGTAATATTTTATCTATTTGTGTGTGCAAATACACATAAATAACTATTTTTATTTATTTTAACATATTTGTATGTGTTTCAAGTAGGTTAAATACTTTTTTTCTTTTAAATTAAAGAAAATTGGTTCTGTAATCTCATTCCATAGATGACCATTCTAAACACAAAAATATCGTGCAACATATATCACTCTGTCTCATACGCTAAAAGAGTAACTCTCTGAGTGCCAGCATGGACTTTTCAGATGTATGCTCCACAAAAGTTTACACTGAATTAAAGAAAATACAGACCAAAGTGGAGTATTTTGACTATAGTAACTTAAGGCCATCTCTAATGTGAGTGACTAGTGTGTTCCCTTTGGCAAAGAGAAACACTGGTGCATGTCATGTACATTGGGTTGATTCTTTCCATAAAGCAGGCTGCTCCGATAATCTTTGCTTAATATAAAACTGCCTCACATCTTCAAAAGAGTCTGTAATGAAGGGTCATGACATAACAGATTCAGGCAGGGAGGTTCACTCCAGCATGTTCTCTAAAGCACTAAAGTGCTTTAGGGAACAGTAAGTGTTTAGTTTAAAGGTAACACAGATAAAGATTAACCCCACAACTTGAAAATTAGCTAATCTATGGATAAAGTACAAGTACTTGACAAAGGCATCAGAGCTTCATTGAGAAGTAACTGCAGGTTAAGGTCAGAGCTAAGACATGCACCCTGGGTCATTGCTTTGCATAATGCTGAATGCACAGTCAACTCAACAAATCCAAGGGTGTTGACCTGTCTTTTGCATAAGGAGCTAAACAGTCACAGCATCAAATAGCTTTAACTAGCATTTACTTGTTTATTCAAAAAATAATGAATAGGAAAACAATTCTAACACTCAAAGTATTGGCTGACACACACACGCACACATCTCTAACTTAGTTTATCTACCATTGTATTTAACTCAAATATGGATATCATTTGTTTCTTAAAGAGATTTGAAACAATATATGGACAAAACATGTCAACTAATGATGCACTGAAGTTGTATTAATTGTTATTGCTTCTGTCAATAAAAAAGGACCGTTAGCATCTTACTGCCAAATTAAATGAAAGAAAATTGGGTAAGTGTCCTCCCAGAGCCGATATTTTAAGGAGAAAAGAAAAAAAAACATTATTAGGAGAGTTTTGATGTCAGCAATAATACAATTCAATAGGCAAAAGAGCAAATGTTATTAAATCCAATATATGCCTGCATTGATGATGGAAGGTAGATGACTACTCTCATAAGCAGAAACAGTAAAACTTGTAGGACTGGTAAGAAGTAACCAATGGCAATTTATTCAGGCCTTCCTAGGTATTATCTATGCTAAATGACTTCCATGTTTTGTCTCACAGACTTCCTATTCTTTTGTTTTATTTTGGTTTAGGCCATATGATTTCCTATGAGAAATGATAACTTATCATCTGGGCCACACAAAGTCTAAAATATGTGACCAAAAAAAAAAAAATCAGTAAGACCAACAAAAGAAACTAAGTAAGCAACTCAACTTTCTGAGAAAAAGATTTTGCATTTTGCAAAACAATACATTTTGTAAAATAATAATTAAATATTTTAGCAAAACTTCACAGGGAGTAGCACAATTCAAGTTATATATTAAACTTTAAAATATAATACAAAAATTGAAGCAGATTTATATGCTTGATCAAATAATTATGTATTGCTTTTGGCAAAATAAACAAATTACCTTAAAACATAAATGTCTTGAATATTTCTCAATAGTATTGTTTTGACTTATTTGATCTTCCTCTCTGTATCATTAGAATCTCTAATTAAGTTTTTTTTAATAGAGAAGAGGACGCACAAATTTACAAGAAAAAAACAACCCCATCAAAAAGTGGGCGAAGGATATGAACAGACACTTCTCAAAAGAAGACATTTATGCAGCCAACAGACACATGAAAAAATGCTCATCATCACTGGCCATCAGAGAAATGCAAATCAAAACCACAATGAGATACCATCTCACACCAGTTAGAATGGTGATCATTAAAAAGTCAGGAAACAACAGGTGCTGGAGGGGATATGGAGAAATAGGAATGCTTTTACACTGTTGGTGGGATGGTAAACTAGTTCAACCATTGTGGAAGACAGTGTGGCGATTCCTCAAGGATCTAGAACTAGAAATACCATTTGACCCAACCATCCCCTTACTAGGTATACACCCAAAGGATTATAAATCATGCTGCTATAAAGACACAAGCACACACGTTTATTGCGGCACTATTCACAATAGCAAAGACTTGGAACCAACCCAAATGTCCAACAATGATAGACTGGATAAAGAAAATGTGGCACATATACACCATGGAATACTATGCACCCATAAAAAATGATCAGTTCATGTCCTTTGTAGGGACATGGATGAAGCTGGAAACCATCATTCTCAGCAAACTATCACAAGGACAGAAAACCAAACACCACATGTTCTCACTCATAGGTGAGAACTGAACAATGAGAACACTTGGACACAGGATGGGGAACACCACACACCAGGGCCTGTCATGGAGTTGGGAGAGGAGGGAGGGATAGCATTAGGAGATATACCTAATGTAAATGACGAGTTAATGGGTGCAGCACACCAACATGGCACATGTATACATACGTAGCAAACCTGTACGTTGTGTACATGTACCCTAGAATTTAAAGTATAATATATATAAAAAATAAAAATAAAAAGAGAAGACGACTCATGTTGCCCAGGCTAGTGTTGAACTCCTAGCCTCAAACAATCCTCCACCTCAAAGTGCTTGGTATTACAGGCGTGAGCCACTGAACCTGGCCTACTTAAGATATTATAGAAATGAAGTGTTTCACATCTTTGTTACTATCATTGTGATAGAAATCTAGGAAGTATAAACTTAAGACATATGTGTAATTCTTCCTTGTCTCTGCCAGAGCTGATTTTTCTTGCATCTACTTTGGCAATAATTCCTCTCCCAGGAAACACAGTTTCTTCTTTGCAGTTATCGAGTTAAATATTTTTTTTTCTTTGCTGTTCTGAGCTGCAAGACCACATTGCCCAGAGGTTTGTTTGCCTGCTCAGGAGATAAAGAGAAGAAACAAAATGATTAAAGCAAGGCAGACAACAAGAAAGTTAGAATAAACAAAGAAAAGTAATAAGAAAGAAATAATAGAAATGCAAAAGAATAAAGTCTACTTTAGCAAAAGGTAACTGAATGAGATTATTACAGTTTCACATGCTGAGATGTCTCATGTTTCACTTAGCTATAGATTATTTCATAGCATGTATGTGTATGTATGTTTGTGCATATATATGTTTGTGAGTGTACATATATTAAAAATGTCCATATCTTAAATATGACCAATAAAAACAACTAAGGAATGAAAGAGTAAAGAAAATAAGATTTATAAATAGCTTCATTTTCTGCCAAGGTGCTCATGTTCCCTTCAGAGACATATTTTGCCTTTTGGATAGGCAAAATATGTTTTAGTAGGTTTTAGACAGCAGTAATATCTTCCTGAAACTGAGAATGTTTGACTTTTTTTTAACTTGATTACAGCTTAAACCTGAGGAAAGGTGTTCAAGTCAAAGGATATCTTTTTGAGATTAAGATAGTGTCATCTAAAATAAAAAATAAATGCTTCAGAGCTGAGTACCCTTGTCATCACTACTTAATAGTTAGAGCTAGCCAAAATCCAACATCATGCCAGTTTACTTACTTTCTGATCTGAGAACTCATCTGTTGTCTACACACAAAGCCAATTTCAAAAGAGTTTCAGAGTAAGCACGTCAGAGCCAAGCACAAGGGTCAAGTATTAGGTGTAAAAAAGAATTATGAATATTTTTATAGCTTTGTACATTTGCTCCTAAATGTACACTTCCAGATAATTTGAAACGATGATGTTGGCACTGCTCTTAATCAAGTTTCATGTCCAGAAAGCCATTTTGAACTCCCCAGAAGGGCAGGACGTCCTGCCACTGTGGTTGCAGAGCCACCCACAACCTTGTCCATTTCTCCAACACCATAACAGCCTCAAGGATAGAGTTTTCCACATATTATTCACCCAACACCTGCTACAGTCCCTGGAACATAAGTGGAAATCAATACTTGCACACTGAATAATGCAGATAAGGGAGACTGGTAAATAATAAAAAGCAGATTTTGAGTCTAAAGGAATGCATTGCTCAAAGTCAAGTAGCAAGAGGTAAAGGAAGCTGCCATTAAACATTTCTCTTCTGCTATGAGACCTCATTTTAGCAATGTATAATTACATTAAAAGAAGTTACTCTTTTAATCTATGCAGTTAAGGCTCAATGATAAAGTTAATAAAATACAAAATAAAAATAGCGAGATAAATTAGCCGGGTGCAGTGGCAGATGCCTGTAATCCCAGCTACTTGGGAGGCTGAGGCAGGAGAATCGCTTAAACCCAGGAGGCAGAGGTTGCAGTGAGCCAAGATCGTGCCATTGCACTCTAGCCTGGGCGACAAAGGGAGACTCCATCTCAAAAAAAAAAAAGAAAAAAAAAAAAAGAGAAATAATGTAAAGCAAAGTATCCTTAGAGATGTGGATTGTGATTCTAGCTTTGATACTATCTAGCTTTAAAGCTTTTATCAAGATTATTCAATTGGCCCAAGACTTAGTTTTCATATCTTGGACAATGGGCTTAGATTAGTGGATTTTCCAGCTCTAAAATGCTATCGTCCTCTATCTAATATCTGTACATCGGCTAATAGATTCATTTAAGAAAACTAACTAGGACTCACTGTCTCTACTATCCAGTTTTGCCAATCTATTGTTATATAACTAGGCAATAGTATGCTTACTCGTTTCCCTGCACCCAATGTGATTGCCTATAGTTCATTCTCTCTACTATACTGTGTGATCTTTCACCAAGAACACAAATCTGATCTTCGCATAACCCTGAAAAAAAAAAGAATCCTCCAAAGGATTTCCATTCATTCCAAATTCAATTCGGTTACAAACTCTTTAGCATAGCTTTCTGCAATCTACTTCTTGCACGCCTACCATAAGATACTCTGATTTTGTACTCTGCTCTAGTCTCACTGAGTTTCCCTCTGTGGCATCACAGGGACATGCTCTCTTGCGTTTGAAAAGTGGTGTTCCTTAGAATAACCTTCCCATCTACGTGTGATACAACTAACTTCTACTATGTATTGCTCAGTGGATGCAAAACACTTACAGAGTGCCTTAAACACAATAGGCACTCAAACATTTGACTAAACGGTTTTAAAATCACTCAAGCCAGGAGAAAGCTTTTTTTTTTTTTTTTTTTTTTTTTTTTTTGGTGCAGTAAGCACTCTTTAAAAACCCACAAGTCATTACCTTGGTTTATAAACGGTTCACAATACAGGGTGCCTATTGCACCAAAGTAAAACTGAAGCTAGGAAAGCACTAATTGCCAAGACTGTTGGAGGAAAACAAATACTCTTCTGTAACTGTACACAAGTTACTCTGCAAAAAGCAAAACCAGGCTAACTGAAGAGACAGCTGCAAAACACACAATGATATAATGTGTTTGCCGATCTGCAAAATCATTTGAAAGTTGCTGCTTCAACAGCTGGTATCTGGGAAGTGTAAGCATCGTTTGGTCTAGTTAAAATTACACAAAGCAGGAATGTTTATTATGCACACAAAAAGGAGATTCGGATGTTGAAGTTACAGCACTTTTAAAAGTCTGGAACAGTCAACGAAACACTTGTTGACAATCGGAAAAATCTCCAATACAGTCATATTGGTTTATTCATGTTCTGTTTCTAGTTCTATTAGGTCTTATGATAACATCTTTGAAGAATATTAAAGCCTATAGAACCCTCAGCATGGCTGAAGTTACATCATACTTTGAGCCTAGCCTGTATCTAGATTGGACAAATAGCATGCACATGCTTAATCTTACCATTACCATTTAATATGGCTTAGCATTTACTGAACACTAAATAATTATACACTTACAGTACCAGACATCAATAAATAGAGGAGTAAACCAAGCTAAATGGAATAATAAAATGGTTGCCCACAACCCATCCCCTGCCAAAAATGTTTCTCTAATCCCACTATGATGCTCAAATTTTCCATGTTACTCATTTATTTGGTTTAATAAAAATCTTCTCAGATGTCTTCTGTAGAACAAATATGTCAATAGCTTGACTTTGGAAGAGAAAAAAAGCAAATAGACATGGTTTTGTTGTCAAATATGGGGAAAATTGCTTTAAGCAAAATCAAATGTTTTTTCTATTGCAGTGCTTCTCAGAGTTTTGAGGAAGGAACCTACTCGGCAGTTTCTCACATGTACCTGGACTCTGTGAACTGAACTCTCTTCATGAAACTTTTTTTCAGAGAATAGTAATTAATATTTGAAAGTCACACTAGAAAATGCTAATTTATGGTGCTATAGATTGTTTAAAAAATTGGTTTCTGGAGGCGTATGGTACATTATCTCACACTAACATATTTACCAAACATAAATCCAAGTAGCAGCCCAGTCACCTGACGAGGGAAACACCATTTTCTTGTCCTCATAGTCCGTAAGGAAATAGGTGTATGTTCATAAAACAGATTCATATATACATACCATGTATATGTGTGTATAAAACATACTCCCATAAGAAAGCTTCCCTGAAGTGAGAAGTTGCTCCTCCTCTTTTCAGATTCTTACTCATTTTTAGTTTCAACTTTTAATTTAGATTCAAGGGGTACATATGCAGGTAGTTACAAGGATAGATTGTGTGATGGTGAAGTTGGGATACAATTGAACCCATCACCCAGGTAGTGAGCACAGGACCTCAAAGGCAGTTTTTCAATCCTTGTACCACTCCCTGCTTCCCCCTCTTCCAGCTCCCAGTGTCTACTGTTCCCATCTTTATGTCTGTGTATGCAATGTTTATCTCCCTCTTACAAGTGAGAACACGCAGTATTTGATTTTCTGTTTCCATGTTAAATTGCTGACAATAATGGCCTCCAACTGCATCCACGTTACTGCAAAGAACATGATTTCATTCTTTTTTACGGCCGCATAATATTCTATGGTGTATATGTGTCACATTTCCTTTATCCAATCCACCACTGATGGGCACCGAGGTTAATTCCATGTCTTTGGAATTATGAATAATGCTGTGATGAATATACATATGCACGTGTCTTTTTGGTAGAGCAAATTATTTTCCTTTGGGTATATACAAAGTAATGGCATTGCTGGGTCAAATTGTAGTTCTATTTTTAGTTCTCTGAGGAACCTCCAAACTGCTTTCCACTGTGGCTGAACTAATTTACATTCCCACCAACTGAAGCCGCACCGCACACCTAAAACCATCTGATCTTTGACAAAGTCTACAGAAATAAGTAATAAAGAAAAAATTCCCTTCTCAATAAATGATCCTGAGATAACTGGCTAACCATATGCAGAAGAATAAAATTAAATTCTTACCTATTACCATATACAAAAGTTAACCCAAGATGAATTAAAGACTTAAATGTAAGACCTAAAACTACAAAAATTATAGAAGAAAATCTAGGAAATACCCTTCTGGACATTGGCCTTGGCAAAGAATCTATGACTAAGTCCCCAAATTCAACTGCAACAAAAATAAAAATTGACAAGTAGGACCTAATTAAACTAAACAGCCTCTGCACAGCAAAAGAAACTATATACAAAGTAAACAGACAAGTTACAGAATAGGAGAAAATACTCACTAGCCATGCAGCCAACAAAGATCTAATATCTGGAATGTATAAGATACTTAAACAAATCAAAAAGCAAAAGGCAACCCCATTAAAAAATGGGCAAAGGACATGAACAGACATTTCTCAACAGAATACATAAAAGTGGCCAAAGAAACATGAAAAAATACTTAACATCACTAATCAGCGAAATGCAAATCAATACCAAAATGAATGTCATTTCACACCAGTCAGAATGGCTGTTATTAAAAAGTCTTCTCACTCATGTATTCACTGCTCCCCACGGGAGGAGCTGTCACTATCTGACAGAACAGGCAGACAGATGAAACTGAGTTGCTTCCTTACTTTTATGACCTGTTTAGTGAGTTTGGTTTTTTGTTACTACTGCCAGGAACAAAACCTAAAGTTTTCATCCACAGAGGCCATTTCCCTGAGCCTCAGATTCCCATTTCTAAAATGAGGGTGGTAACATCTGCTTTAGTGGTTGTTTTGCTATTAGAGTTGTGACTAAAATGTTTTGTAAAGTGCTGGCATTGTCAAAAGGCTATTTTTTTTTCTGTTACTATCAACGAATTCATCACAACTGCATGCAAGGTCTATATAATCCATGTAGTATCTATTGCTCTTGTCAATAGCAAGAGGCTAGAGGCTTAGTCTTTTTCCTTCTTCCCGTGAATTCTAAGGACAAAGTCTGACATATGGCCTATTCTTTGTGCATATTTAGAGAATAAATTCTCTAGACAAAGGTAAATTACTTTCTTTGCTACTTGTGTTTTTATATCTCACCTAAACTAAAAGCGGTCACTTAGCCTTTTAAGAGGGCCCAGTTTTTGCAGAACTGCACATCAGAAATAGACAGAAAAGGTTTAATGGATTTTTAACTGTAGAAGACATTTCACTAATTAGTAAAATTTCTATTTCTTCACAAGTAGCCTAAAATCAAGTCAAATCAGGATAACTGAAGAAAATTCATAGAACGTGAGGGGGAGTCTCTTCTGCTTAAACTCGCCCATCGCCACAGAAATTTGTCATTTAGGTATTCATTTGACAATAAAGTTTCTCTATGATATTTATTCTTAACCTAGAGAACTTCCTCACAACTAAGTATAAGTTACTTTAATATGAAAATTAGGTAGAAGTCTATTGTTAGGGAAACCTCTCCATGGAGGGAAAGAATTTTGATTGAATAGATAGGAGAAAAGGAAATTTAACAAGAAAAAATCCATAATAAAATATATTGGATAGTATAAAATATTTTGTGTTTGGACAGGGAAAATGAGGCTGAGGCAGATCATAGAGAGGTCAAGAAGATCATGAGAGGTCAAAGCCAAAGTGCCAACTTCATGGATTTGTGTGCATGTGTCTATGTGTATGTCTGGGTGTGGGGGTGTATGTGTGGATCTTTTTAATTTTCCTGAGGTAGAAAAATTACTTCACTAGTTAGATGAAGCTGTAAATAGGATAGGGTAGTAGTTTGGGAGCATATCACCCTTAGTTCTGATCAATTTAGCTCAGTTCAGTATGACACACTCAGCATCTCCCTCTCCAATCTGTTCATGCTGACCTAAGGAATGGAGGCAAATCATAGAAAAAATTAAAAAAGAAGCACGTATGCCATTATCTAACATCTTCCCATCTCAGTAGCACTTTCACTTGTATAAAGCTCATCTCCAGTGGAGATGTGAGAAAAGTGCCGAGCATCTATTGAAATTACACACTGTCAACAACCTGGGAAAAAATAAGGTTGGAGAGGGAAAAACATAGTAAGACCAGACTCAAGCCAACACTCTTCCTTGTACTTAAAATCCACTCATTCTTGCAGAAAACATTGTCTTGGACACGGCAGTTGAATTCTTGTCATTTTTCAGTTGTCCTTAAGCTGGTAAGCAGGTCTTATTCCCCACCTTCTACACCTTCCTTATTCATCTCTTCCTTGGTTAGTTACCATAGAGAGCTGACTGTTTTCTAAACTTGAGTTGGCCATATATTGAAATTTCCTTTATGCCTTTATTTCTATGCAAAATAAGCATTAACTCCAAAAGATTTTTTGTTGTTGTTGTTTTTTGTTTGTTTGTTTGTTTCTCAACGTTTGTAAAAGGAATTTTGCCCATTAGGCAGTCAAACAAGAGAAAGGTATTTTCTTCTTTCTCTGTCCTTGATGAAAACAATATTTCTAAAACTATGCCGATATGGAAGACTTGTGTGGCTACTTCAACTTAATTTAGTTAAAAATTGATGAAATCCAAAATTCAGTAATTCAGTCACACTAGCCATACTTCCAGTGCTCATTAGCCACATGTCCATATTAAACAGAAATAAAACATTTACTCATCACAGAAAGTGCTATTGGACAGTGCTGCTCTAGAATTCAAAAATATCCCCATTACATAGAGAAATATGAAAAGCAAGTAAAGCTATGCAGAATCCAATTTTGTATTCTCAAAATTATGAAACACATTAAAATAATACAAGTGTCTCTGATATAGACTTTCCTCGAAAAGTAGAGGCAAGTAGGTCCACTGGAAGTATTTAGACCAAAGCTGTCCAATTAAAAGAGAAAATTCTCAATAAGAAGCTGAATTAGATGACTTTAAAATTCCCAGGGAGTTTAATCAGCAAATTGAAAATATGTTCAATTCCATAAAGCCATGATTTTCTGATTCTTAATTAGCATATATTTTTCATTTTGTGACAAACTAGAGTGATTTTACTTTATGTTTCTAGGTCATAGAAAATTGCTTAACTTAAAATTCAGTAGCCTTTATTGCTTTAAAGTTTTAATTAATTATATAATGTAGGCTAGGCATGGGTGCTCATGTCTGTAATTCTAGCACTTTAGGAGGCTGAGGCAGGAGGATCCCTTGAGGCCAGGATTTCAAGACCACCATGGAAAACACAGCAAGACTACATCTCTATAAAAATAAATAATGAAAATGCATCTGTGGCTGAGTTCTGATCAAATGTAAAACCACCTTGATAAATAGCATCTTAAGAATGCACAGATATTAATTTAACACAAAATTGAGAACCCTGAATCATGCAGTACCCTCATCCTAAGACATAAAAACACTACTTTTCAAAGAAAGACCCTAATGTGTGAGAGGAAATGAGAGACGTTCTCACCCGATAATGCCCTAATGTTTTCCTTCTTCAAATAAGGATTTTTTTTTTTAACTTCAAGTTTTCCTGAGGAAGTAGCAATTCTGAATTTGCAAAATCATTGCTCTTGAGGACACATAAAGCCTTCACTCTCTTACTGCTCCACTGTGGAAGGAGGGGCTGGGAGCACATACAGAGCAGGAGGTGGAGTCATTTTTCAAGAAAGGATTTCCATATAACTTGAGGATAACATGAGCTCTTGAAAAGAAATAGTGTACTTGACAAAGAATCATTCTTGTTTCCTCTTGTTGGACTCATTTCCTCTTCTGTTTATGTCTAGACACAATTAGTAGGTCCTAGTTTAAGGCTTCATCGACTGCGAAGTGATGTGAAAAATCCGACCTGTCTCTAAAGGAATCACCAAATGGTTCTATGTTTTTATTTATTTTACTTTATTTTATTTTGAGACAGAGTCTCACTCTGTAGCCCAGGCTTGAGGGCAGTGGTATGATCTCAACTCACTGCAGCCTCTGCCACCCGGGTTCCAGCAATTCTCCTGCTTCAGCCTCTCAGGTAGCTGGGATTACAGGCATGCACCACCACATTCGGCTAATTTTTGTATTTTTAGTACAGATGGGGTTTCACCATGTTGTCCAGGCTGGTCTCGAACTCCTGACCTCAGGTGATCAGCCCGCTTCAGCCTCCCAAAGTGCTAGGATTACAGGCATGAGCCACTGCACCCGGCCGGTTCTGTGTTTTTAAAACTGTGAGTTGTGTTTGGCTGTGTTGACCAAAGATACGCTTTCAGAGTAGCTTGTTTTTCTAAAAACCTTTCAGATTTTGTAATGCCTGGAGTCTCATTTATTTTCTTAATAGGATTAGGAGGATGATCCAAAGTAGGACTGGATAATTGCTATGAATTGAGGAACATGGAAGTCTCTCTTGTTTCCAAATATCCATTTCCTGTTTTCTTCCTCTTCCAAGGAATAACTAGTATATCTGCTTCCTCTCTATGAGCATTATTTCTTTGGGATAAAACTCTGAAGTCTTCAGGAACTGCAAATATGTTAAGCAAGATACTCAGTAGCACCTCGGTTTAAATTAGTATTAAAAATAAGTTCCCATTGTGTGGAATGACTCAAGTAGACAAGTATAAACAGTAATAAAATTGCGATTTATGAGAATAGGTTCAGAAAGAGTCCAGAGCCTGACCTATATTCAGCAGAGTGGTCCTAGGTAGAACATTCTGTGTCAAAATATCAAAAGGCATTGACAAGAGAAATCGACAGAGAATTAGGTTAGCAGAGTAAACAGGTATTCTGTAACCTTCTCAAGTGCTGTGCCTGCTTAGGGAAATACTATTCTTATAAAGTCTTATTCTTCCGCATAATGAATAGTCATTTCCACCAAAGACACCAAAGAGTATACCAGAGTTTTCCTGAACGGAGCTTCCTTTGTTGGTACTTAACCTTCATTTTTAATCTGCACATATAAAAAATTAAATGCTAGCTACTTAATGACTTTGGGGGAAAAAAAAATTAGCTGAATGTTTAATCTCACCACAGAGTTCCTTGTACACCTATCTCAAAATCCAGGAATTACAGCAGAGATTGCCAGTAGTAATGGTTATTTGAAACTCTGCTCTATACAACAAATGATCTCTCTCAATGCTTTCATTCTTCAAACACAGCACTGCTCTGGATGGAAAAGACGCCCAACCGAACCATCTGTCAGAGAAGATAGAGTTCAGCTGGAAAAGGCAGTTCGTTTTGTTGCACTGTTAAATTTTCTTGCTTCAAACTAGATGAAGTGTGGGGGAACAAAAAGCACTCTGCTTCTCAGATGCAACAACGGATGCACAGAAACAGTGATGGAACCCAGAGCTGGTGTCATTTCTGTCTAATCTAAGTTTGGAATATAGTCATTCTACTCTGCAGATATTTTATATACTTCCTGTTGGTTAAAGGTCAGCTATCCAGGAGGCTGTCCTCTGGCCTATTTTAAAACACTGTGGGTGTTATGACAATGTTTGATCTCAAAAGTATCAAGCAGAAGGTTTTATATATTATTTGATATGTGCTCCAACTCAGATCTGCAACCTGTCAATTATGCCTTATGAAATCCAGATATTTTTAATCATCCTATAAAAACAGTGAAGAAAAAGCAAATCATAATACAATGCCTATCTTTTTAAAATCATCATCTCTTCAGTCTTGATACATGCTATAAACAAAAAGATAATGAATAAAAGAAAAAGTAATGTAACTTTTTAGTCTAATCCTAAATGAATCAAGATTTCTTCTCCCAATTCTTTTGGTAAGTAGGTATGTTATTTTAAAAAAGATAGTGCTACATTGTTCTTTGCGGTCAAAACGGGCCTCCCAGGAATTTGTTACATTCAAACCAAGAACTAGTAGTTCAAATAAGGTAATGAAAAGTCCCTTAATGTAGAAAGTTTTAAAAAAGTCAGATGATAACAACTTAATAGTTATTTGAAATATATATTTCATGCCGAGTGCTTAAAAGCCAATAGGCTCCAAAAGAAATAACAGAATTTACCTGACAGTGATAGTCTCTACACTACATATACTAAAATCCCCATACAAATACACAACAGATCCCAAGCAGAAAAAATGCATACATAATATGCACACAAATAAATAAAGTTACTGTAAGTGTGGCTGTTTTTTATCATATTCAAAATGGGCAAATAGGATTATCAACTCAGTTGCTCATCAAGAATTTGAAGTTTGTTAAAAATTTAATTACAGGTTTTATTAAATTAATAACATTTGTTAATGATATAATAAAAGTTATATCTGAACTTTAATAGGTCTTCAATAAATGTTAGCTATTATTATTACTACTACTATTATTATCTACATTATCATGATTAGCCTCTACCATGTTTTTTATAAGGATTGCAAATGTTTGGAGATGTAAATAGAAATAAATCTAGAAATTTGGTTCCATTTAATGTTTCAAGCATGGCAAAGAATTAGAAGAAAAGGTAAGGAGAACTTTCCCATCCTTTTTCATATTAAGATCTACTTCTTGAGAGGCAATAATGATGGTAAGCACTCATTTGGAAGAGGCTTTCCTTCATTCTACATACATTTATTAACCCCATGCTGGAGTTTGACATAGGCACTGGAGATTTAGTAATGTAAAGGAACAAGAAAAAAAATCTTCTTCACTGATCTTAAGTCTGGGTGGGGCTGGGGGGATGAGCAGAGAGAAGACACAAACAATGAAGAGAATAAATAAGTAAAAAGTGATGCAATTTTAAGTAAATCCCTCTAGGGAAAGAATCACTGGAAGTAATTTGATCAACGTGTTTAAGAAGCTGAAGGAGTAACACATGAAGAAATCTGAGAGAAGATAATTCCAGACCAGTGAAACAGCAAAGGCAAATGCATGTCTGAACTGGAGGAATCTGGAGGTGTATATACAGAGTGACAGAAAGTTATATTAAAGGGTAAATATTTTTCAGATATGTGAGTACATACACTACTACACACACACATGCCAAATTCAGACAATAAACATTTTTGTTGGTGCCTTCACCACAACCAAAAGTGGTGCCATAAAGCTGAGTGGTATTAGTAAGAGGGTGTTTGAGATGAATCCAGAAAAGTACCAGGGTGTTACGACCTATTATAAGAGGCTTGGCTTCTACTCTGAGCGAGCTGGGGAATCACTGGAGGATTTTAAGCTGAGAGTTGCTCATTTAAGTCTTAGCCTAATCATTTAGGACAGGCATATGTATTTTAATTAGTCTTCATGCAAATATATGAATCATTTCCAAGAAAGCAAGATTAATATGATTACTAAGTTGTGATGAGAAAGTACAGTGAATAAGAAATAGAGAAAGAGTTTGAGAGGCAATGCTCTAAGTCAATTAGAAAATCTCAGTAAATCTTTCACAGTGAAAAGCACTGCTATTACAAATCACAGTGATATAATAGCATTTATCACGTCCAGAGATACACTACAAATTACTGAAATTGCTCTTTGGGGAGTACTACAAAAGTTGGTAATAAGATTCTGAAAATACAGAGAAATGCTAGGTAGTTTATCTAATTAAATTCTGAATCATACCAATTACAAACGTCATAGCATATTTATTTTCATAAGCATACTTCAAAACCCTAATATCCTGTTGCTTCATCCAAATGGGATGCAAATTGAGTCAAATTTTACAGCCAAGATTCACAGGTATCTCAAATTCTAGCTACCCAGATAAAGTCATCTATTAGGGTTTATAGCAGGCTCTAAAGGCGTTACAGAAAATCTGATGTCAATGCTTAAAGAACTTGAAGATACAGCCAATAAGATATCTTACCCTAAAACTTGAATTTGGAGCCAAATTACAGTGACTAAAAATGGCTGGAGTTAATTGGCTTTTTTGATTAGACCACTGCTGATGTGAAACTCTCCTAGTAACTCCTCCTAAAGGTAAGTTTATGAGTCCATATTCCCAACTCCAGTTATTCCATTCTCCTCTTTGCCTACTTCTATTTTTTTTTTTTTTTGAGATGGAGTCTCATTCTGTCACCCAGGCTGGAGTGCAGTGGCATGATCTCGGCTCACTGCAACCTCCGCCTCCCAGGTTCAGGCGATTCTCCTGCCTCAGCCTCCTGAGTAGCTGGGACTACAGGTGTGCACCACCACGCCCGGCTAATTTTTGTATTTTTAGTAGAGATGGGGTTTCACCATATTGGCCAGGCTGGTCTCGATCTCCTGACCTCATGATCCGCCCTCCTCGGCCTCCCAAAGTGCTGGGATTATAGGCGTGAGCCACCCCTCCCGGCCTTGCCTACTCCTTCGTTTCCTCAGCCCAGACTCCTTTCCTCAATATTCCATTACTAACTTTTGCCCATGTAATGTTTACCCACTAGTAATGTCCACCAACTTACCACTACTGGGCTAAACCTTATTAATCCATTTTCAAGATGCAATTTAAGTTCCAATGTTAGCAATCTCTGATAGGAAGCTCTTTCCTGATATCCATATTTTATTCTAGTATATGGCTATATTCAAACTTATGCTCAGTGTTATGGTGTTTTTTCCTCCAAACATTTCTTTGACAAGCTTCTTCAGG
The DNA here is from genome assembly GCF_000001405.40 of Homo sapiens. Classification (NCBI taxonomy): domain Eukaryota; kingdom Metazoa; phylum Chordata; class Mammalia; order Primates; family Hominidae; genus Homo; species Homo sapiens. The sequence continues at coordinate 115,196,822 of NC_000002.12, read as the reverse complement.
ACAGTTAGCTTGCATACCACACCCACACATCCATATGTTCTGACAAAGTGAGAAGTGCAGGCTGACAGCTCCAAAGGATTCATGAATGCCTTAACAATCTCCAAAAGAACATGGTCAGAGGCCTTATCTCATTGCACTTACAGTGGTAATAAATGTAAAAGTCCAATCTTTTAAAAAAAGAGTCTCTTTTATGGTTATAGTTACCCACTAACATGAAGGGAAATTAAATTTTTTAAATGTAGGTTCAATCTTAGCTATTATGGGTCAGTGCAATTAGAAAAAAATTACAAATACATTTTGAAGCAGGAAGCTCTGCAATACTAATTATGTGGAGAGTATCTAAAATAAATATAGTCTTATAGTAATTTTAAAATATGCTTTCATATTTTGAAATATAAAATATGAAATATTTCATAAAATAGAGGAGAGGAATAACTAATCCAGTAGGTCATTGTCAGCATTCTTCACCCAGTTAGGAGAAGCAGGCAGATGCAAAATTCAAACGAAGCATAAGTTACTGTGTCCTGTTAAACGTTTAATGTCTGACGGAGGAACATGCTCCAATGATCACATACACGTAAGTTGAACTCTAATTCTTCTGCAGCAGCTGCAATTCTTCTTTTCCTAAATATCAAATAAATTAGAAAACCACAGGGGGAAATCTCTGGAAAAATATTGCTGGGCTTGACGGATTGTCCACAATTGATAAATAAAATGAACATCTGGTCCCTGGGAAAAAAAGGACACTTCAATGAGATGTATACTTTTTCCTCAACAACACTGAAAACACTTCAGATGGACATGAAATATTGATCCTGTGTATTCCTTTCAAGATGTGTTCTTTATCTCTGCTTCTGTTCCACTAAATACTTGGTTGTCATGACAAATCCAGTTTTTCACCAAACTGGAAGTAATAAAACAAAAGATATGCTGTGTATGGGTGCATCAGGGTTTGCAGAAAAAGAAGAGAAAAATTCTAATATCCACTGAAGAATTGCCCTGTTGCTTTGTGGAGGGAAGAGTGTCCCGAAATACAATGCCATGGCCATTGAGGGAAGGAAGCGCATAAAGCAAAACCAAGGCAGAGGCAGCTGTTAAGAATTCTGTCAAGGCACGGAACAACCTTTACCACTTCTAAATGAACAAAAAAGGTCCACAAGTTTGGTTCGTTATCTAAATTACAAAAAAAGTAATAATAATTTCTGTAAATTACAAAAAAATGTAATAATAATTTCTGGGTACATATAGTCAAAAGCAGTATTCACCGTGTTAGAACAATCACATAAACACATTAACAGAAGCAGGCTTGAGAGTGTGAATATGTCTGCAGAAGAGAATAGCTGGACAGATTTTTGAAGCACAAGCTCAAGGTATTACTATCAAGACAAATAGTCACACTTTTAAAAAACAAATGAGCAAAATTGCTTATTTGTTTACCTTCCACAGTTGCAATCCCTATCATGTATTCGTCTCTACGGGTTTTAGGGGTGGCGGTGAGGTATGGTTATATTATCATGCTTAAACATAAACAACATTTACTCCTAACACCCTTTAAAAATAGACAACACTAAACTGTGAGAAGGGCAAAGATCACATGATCTTAAAAGAACTATCTTGAAAGCCACCCACATTGAATCCAAATTGGAATCCCTTTCAATGTCTCAGGAGTAGAAAATAGATTTCAAATTACAGAGCCCCTCTCATCTTCTAATAACAATACTGACTCATCAGCATAAGTTTGTCCAGTCAGTGATCATCATGAGCGCACACTGAATGTCCAAAATATATCCCCAAATCTGCAAAAGACACTGTCCCAGCTTAAGTTTATCTGACAGGCAAAACCCAACACTAGGAAATTCACCGCCACGATTTCTCTCCTGTGCATAATGCATCAAAGGCTCTTCATAAAATGCTGTTTTCCAAAGGGGACCCGAGATTCTGTGTCTGCTGAGATCAGTGTCTAAGAATATGAAACACAGAGTAATCTCCTACTGTATCCAACAGGTGGCATTGTTATGTTAAACATCACTCATAAATGTCCATTCTAGTCCTCTGCCGTGTAGATTCCACAAATGTTCACAGAACACTGTGAACTTAAAAAATTTTAGAATTAGTCAGGTACAGTTGTCTATGGATAGACTCTTATGCCCTAAAAACAAAGCCTTTATACAAAAAGCTCACGCAAGACGGGCCAAACCCCTTCGTTTGGCCATTACCAGAAATCCAACAGATGGAAAGGTTGAAACATCTATTAGTAACTGCCCCTGTCCTAGCTTTCCCCTCAAGCAGCCATTCCATCTTTTTGTCAGTGTAAACAAGTGCGTAGCCTTAGAAATACTTACCCAAAAGCACGAAGGCCACTGGCAACCCGTAGCCTTCCTATCAAAAATCCTTAACACGGAGAAATCCCGTCTCTGCTGGAAATGCAAAATTAGCCAGGCGTGGTGGCGCATGCCTGTTATCCCAGCTACTCAGGAGGCTGAGGCAGGAGAATTGCTTGAACCTGGGAGGCGGAGGCTGCGGTGAGCCGAGATCACGCCATTGCACTCTAGCTCGGGCAACAAGAGCGAAGCTCCGTCTCAAAAAAAAAAACAACAAACTCCTTAACCCAGTAACCCGCAGATGGCCCAAATGCATTCAATCGGTAGCAGCAACGGCTTTGCTAACAGAAGAAAGTAGAAAAATAACTTTTGGAGGAAACTTCATTGTGAGCACACCTCACAAGGTCAGAACTATCCTAAGTCAGAAAGCCAAAAAGTAGCTTACTGACCCAAAAATCTTAAAGTGTGAGGCTATTTTGTTAGAAAAAGATGATTTAACATTAACCACTGATAATTCACTTAACCCAGCAGGTTTCCTAACAGGGGATCCAAATCGTAAGAGAGAGCACACATTTTTAGATTTAATTAATTACCATACAAAGGCCCGACCAGACCTAGGAGAAACTCCCTTCAGGACTGGATGACACTTATTTATAGATGGTTCCTCCCGGGTGATTGAGGGAAAAAGACACAATAAGTATTCAATAATTGATAGAGAAACTCTTGTAGAAATAGAGTTAGGAAAATTGCCTAATAATTGGTCTGCTCAAACATGTGAGCTGTTTGCACTCAGCCAAGATTTAAAGTACTTAGAGAACCAGGAAGGAACCATCTTACCGATTCTAAGTACGCCTTTTGAGTGGTCCATACATTTGGAAAAATTTGGACTGAATGAGGGCTTATTAATAGCAAAGACCAAGACCTGTTCCACAAGGAATTAATCACCCACGTATAAATAATCTTCACTTGCCAAAAGGAACAGCTATTGTCCATGGCCCTGGACATCAGAAAAGCCTTTCTTTAATTAAAATCCCAAACTTACAGGTTTTCAACAAAAGTAAAGTTTGCTAAAAGTTAACACTGTAACATGTATTATCCTAACTTCTAATCTGGTGGTCTTAGGCAGTCTAGTCCACAGACATAAAGGAAGCTTGCTTTGGAAAAGAACTGTTATCATCTTTGACATTAAAAAAAGGAGAGTTCATGTAAAAAGAATCTTACATGGTAAATTCTTGTCCGAAAGTAAATTAACTGGTTGTTTAAAAAAAGGGATGTTTACAACAAGTCAAAAAGTTAAGGCATGTCAAAGATTGTCTGTGAAAGTTGTGAAACATGTTATAAAAGGGAATTTATGCAAGAAATGTTGTATAATTTAAAAGTAATTCGGCCTCCTGAATGTAAAACTATTGAAGAAACAGTTTATTTGCAAGGTGTGTAAGGAAAGTAAAATATACTTTTGGTAAAAGGATTGTAAGGAGGCATAAGAATGTGGATTCATACCTACATTAAAAGGTTAAAAATTTTTTTTTTGTTTTAAAGTTTAAGCAAGTTTTGAAACGTTAATTGTAAAGGAAATTCCGTGTAAAAGGATTTAATTTATTTAATTAATTAAAATAAATTAAAATTTATTTTAATTTTTTATTAAAATCAAAGCACAATGGGTTTTTCTTAAAGCACTAACCTGCTCTTTAACAAAAATTATAAAGGGTTAAAAAGAGTCTATAAAAATCTTATGTTATGGTCAGACATTAAAATTGGATAAATATGTCTACAAGGTTTTATTAAAATTGAGTTTAACATTAATAGCCCACTAATATAAAGGTGAAATTTAGCTTATCTGGTATAAAAATCATACAGGAAGCACTGTCAAATATAAAATGCTGTTTGGTTTTCTTTGGTCTAAAAACTAATAAAAATAGGTACTAAAGAGAATTCAGAAGGAAACTGGATATTGCTAGACTGAGAGAAATGTTATCCAAACCCCTTATGAGGTAAATCTTGTTCCAACTGCATCAAGGGACCCACTGGGGGCCCCAAGCCATGTGTGATGCAGTCCTCAGAGTTTATGGGTGCATAGAGATTTATACCCTGGCCAAATGGTTACAGACAATTGCTTAGTAAAAGATTACCCCTTGGGGGAAGGAGTCCAGGCTTAAGGCCATTCCAAAGTACCTAGATTGATTACACAGAGATGCCTCCAATTGGTCGTCTAAAGTATTTATTAGTAATAGTAGACCACCTTACTCATTGGGTAGAAGACATTTTCTTTCCAAGTACAACTGCTAATAATGCAGTCAAGACATTGCTTGAAAATATTATACCCAAGTTTAGATTAATAGAAAACATTGCTTCAGATAACAGGACTCATTTCACTGCACGTGCCATTAAGAAATTAGCCCAGGTACTGGATATAATATGGGAATATCATAATCCCTGGCACCCACCTTCATCAGGGAAAGTAGAAAGGCCTATTACCCTGTTGAGAGTCTGAACTGTTCCCCAAAAAGACATAGGCCTATCCTATTATGAGATGCTTTATGGACTGCCTTATCTACATTCTACTACTGATCTCCCGACATTTGAAACAAAAGATCAGTTTCTCAGAAGTTATATACTTGGTTTATCTTCCACTTTCTCTTCCCTCAGAGCTAAAGGTCTTTTAGCACAGGTGCCACCCCTGGAGTTTCCAGTACATCAACACCAGCCTGGGGACCACGTCCTCATCCAAAGCTGGAGAGAAGGAAAAGCTCGAACCGGCCTGGGAAGGATCTTACCTAGTGCTCCTAACTACCGAAACCACAGTCCGGACACCAGAAAAAGGATGGACCCATAATACTCAAGTCAAGAAAGCGCCGCCCCCTCCCAAGTCATGGGCCATAGTCCTAGGGGAAAACCCTACCAAACTAAAGCTAAGAAAAATGTAACTCTCTTTCATCTATTCTATTACTCCTTCTTCTTTCCTCACTCTATTGCTGGTCACCTACTTATTAACGTAACCACGTCAATTCTGCCTCAAACTATTACATTTGATCCTTGCCTCGTTATACCCTGTGGAGATTTGCCAGGTGAGAGGCAACTCTCCACCTCAGAAAAGTACTTTATCCTTCCTAGCTTTCCTCAGACTAAAAATCTGTGAACTGGGACAAGTTAGTTTGAGAAGTGTTTGACGAAAATTCCAGTGTAAACTGGAAATCTTGTCCTCCTAGAGCAGAGCTTCTCTGCCGAAGTTGGTCCAATGCTCTGTAAAACACCGAAGAGCAAGGATGGACCGCCCCAGCTAGTACTTGCAGTTTCTTAAAACCACATATATTCATTTTACTAAAGGAGTTAGCCCTCCCCGTGGTCAGATAAATCACTGTAACCCAGTACAGATTACCATCTCTGCTCCCCAGAGTTCTTCCCCTTCGTTAAGCCATTTCTATAGTATAGGAGCAGAAGTCTCAGGGAAGGACCCCATAGGATCCTTTGAAATGTGCTTCATTGCCTCCTCACCTCCTGCACCTCCTTCTTCCTCTCCTGAGTTCTCCGCTAACCAAACCTTCTCTTGTTATAAACCCAATGATAAAACCAAAGTAGTTTCTGTAGAGGTTAAAAATTTGAAACAAACTATAGCAATTGAAACAGGATATCAGGACACAAATGCTTGGCTGGAATGGATTAAATATTCTGTTCGCACGCTAAACAAAAGCGACTGTTATGTGCGACAGGCAGGCCAGAGACCCAGATTATCCCCTTTCCACTTGGGCGGTTCTCTCACGGACCGGGCATGAGCTGTATGGTAGCTCTCTTCCAAAACCCCACAGCCTGGGGCGATGAGTCATGCGAGACTCTTTCACTGCTGTTCCCTGAGGTTGAACCCTGTGGGTCAGCCCCCGAGGGCCATCTGGCCTCCAGCCCCTGATGTTAACTTCAACAGGTGCCTTTCACCGCCGGGGGAAAAGCGAGTATTCCTTGTAGACTTAACAGGGTGCAGTGAAACCAAGCCCTTCCAAGAGCTTACCCACCAGTCTGCCCTTGTTCATCCCCTAGCAGATGTGTGGTGGTATTGCGGGGGACTCTTGCTGGGTACTCTGCCGAGTAATTAGAGCAGCACTTGTGCTCTAGTTCAACTGGTCATGCCTTTCACCCTAGGATTCCGTCAACATGATTAAAAAAAAATTGTAGAAGAAGTGCCTCACATGGGTCCTTTGACCCCCATGTTTACATAGATGCTATTGGAGTTCCACGAGGAGTACCAGATGAATTTAAAACCCAAGATCAAATAGCTGCAGGATTTAAGTCAATATTTTGGTGGGTGACAATTAATAAGAACATAGTTTGAATAAATTACATTTATTACTACCAACAGTGGTTTATTAACTACAGTAGAGATGCTGTTAGAGGAATAGCTGAGCAATTAGGGGCTACCAGCCAGAGGGCTTGGGAAAATAGAAGAGCCTTAGACATGATATTAGCAGAAAGCGGAGGAGTTTACCTCATGATGAAAACTCAATGTTGCACCTTCATCCAAACAATACCACCCCTGATGGAAGTATAACAAAGGCATTGCAAGGTCTAACTGCTCTGTCCAAGGAGTTAGCCAAAAACTCAGGAGGAGTAAATGCCTCCTTCACAGGGTGGCTAGAAAAATGGTACAGTAAATGGAAAGGAATCATAGCCTCGATGCTTACTTCTCTCGCAGCGTAGAAGGTGTACTCGTTCTTCTCGGGTGTTGTGTCATAGCATGCATCTGTGGGCTGGGGCGCAGACTCATAGAGGCAGCACTTACTAAAACGTCCTCCACATTATTAATTCTAAATTCTCCTCCACCTTATTCAGAGAAGTTTTTTCTTTTAGAGAATCAAGCAGAACAACTAAGCCAAGTCATGTTAAGGAAGTCTGAAGAGAAAGAACTGAAAAAATTCAAGATGGGGGATTGTTAAATATAGTGAACCCCAAGTTTCTCTTCAAAGAATCAGTATGTCAGTATGTTCAGCTCTGTTATTCTTTGATGCTCCATTTTAAAGTTTAACTTCCTGGTTCTCTTCACCCCTTGGCTCTAGTTTCAGTAAATAACTTTCCCGTCAGTTCCAATCAGTAGTTCACATCTGTTCCCCTGGTCACCTGCTTTGACCTGAGTCACCCCTTGTCGCCTGCTCTGTCCCGGCTCATCCTGAGTCACCTGTTCTGTAACCATCCTTCCTGCCAAACTACTCACCCCGCCACTCCGGCTTATACCCCTGATCTCTTTAAAAATAGCCAATCGGCATTAGCTTAGACTGTGTGGTCCAACCCTAGACAACAGGGGAATGACACAGCAGTAGAATAAGAACGCCTTCCCCTCCCTTGTTCAGGGGTGCTCTTGCCATTGTTCCATCTGCAAGTCACACCCTTCTATAGAAGTAAAACTGCCTTGCTGAGAAAATTAAATTTATGTTCGAGTGCTATTTATAACAATTCCATCATAAATCAAGGAGCACCTGTATATTTGTACATATGTGTGTATACATATATAATGATGAAAATTTAGTATAGTTACCTTTCTGAATCATTTTTATAGCTGTGAAGTATTGCATTTGTATAGATGTGCAACAATACTATTAAAGAAAATTTGAACTGTTTCCAGTCTTTCACTATTACAAATAGACGTACAGTGAACAGCCTTAGGTGTGCTTTTTTTTTTCATATTTTTACCAATAGGTTTGTGAAATAGGTGTCTAAAAGTGTGATTGCTGGGTCAAGGGGTAAAAGTATATATAATTTTACTAGACACTGTCAAATTCCTCTCCATAAAGAGGTGTAGCATTTTGCATTTCCAACAGCAATTCCCATGACAGTATTCACTACTTTTGGATTTTGCCAATCTCAAGGTGATAAATGGTATTGCAGTGTAGTATAAATTCCTATATCTCTTTTTATAAGCAAGTATAAGGATCTTTATGTGTGGTTAGAAAACATTTCGTTTATTGTATTTTATGACCTGGTCTGTGAATTTTCTTGAGAGACCCTAAAATATGGCCTGATTTCTTAAAATATCTCTATAGGCTTAAAATTACTCTGGAAATGATCCCTCTGAGTTAATTTCCGTGAAAATTTACCATAATGTAGTTCTAGATATTAGCCCAAACTTCTTTATACAGAAAGATCCAGTTACCTGACATTCACCCAGGACCCTGATTCTTTAATTATCCCGTTTTCTCCCATATTTCCAATCTTAGTCTCAACTAGCTCTTTGCCTGTAGCCCATACACATCTTTCAATTATTTTTATCCTAAAAAATACGAAGGAAAAGCATACAAATAATATAAAACAAAAATTTTCAAAAGGTAGTCTGCTGAATTTCATGTTTCCTCCATTCCTAGTCTTCCTCCTTCCTTGATCAGCAAAATTCTTGAAACTTACTTCTCTCCTGAGATTTCTCTTCTCTCCTGAGTGCGCTCTCTCTCTCTCTCTCTCTCTCTTTGCCTCTCTCTCTCCCTCTCTCTCTCTGTCTCTCTGTTTTTTTGAAATAGTCTCACTCTGTTGCCCAGGCTTCAGTGCAGTGGCACTATCTCAGCTCACTGCAGCCTTGACCTCTCAGGGCTCAGGAGATACTCCCACCTCAGCCTCCCAAGTAGCTGGGACTACAGGCATGTACCATCACACCCTGCTAATTTTTTTGTTTGTTTGTTTTTTCTTATTTTGTGTAGAGATGGGGTTTCACCATGTTGCTCAGGCTGATTTCCAACTCCTGGCTCAAGCGATCTGACCGCCTCAGCCTCCCAAAGTGGTGGGATGACAGGCGAGAGCCACCACACCAGGCCTACTGAGCTTTGTCATGCTCCCACCCACTACATTATATTTCATCCCTGCTTCCCAGCTGCTTTAAAATTTACAGATTCCATTTCCAGCTCTCTCTGGAAGTTCTTCCCTTGTTATTGAACTCCCAAACTTCCTAGGTGTCCTGGACCATCACTTTCCCATTATATTAATATAAACCAAGCCTAAAAAACTCCATCCACTTTCACAATTTTCACGACCATGTATATGCTGGTGAATCACAAATGTATGTCTTTGTCGCTCTCTGCTTCAAGATTTAGTATGTATGAAAAATGTCCATAAATATCTGAAAGTTTCTATACTAAAAAGTAAGTTCTTCTCCATAGCTGGATTTGTTTCTCTTTATGAATTGTAAGAATCTTTGCACCGGCCGGGCGCGGTGGCTCACGCCTGTAATCCCAGCACTTTGGGAGGCCGAGGCGGGTGGATCATGAGGTCAGGAGATCGAGACCATCCTGGCTAACAAGGTGAAACCCCGTCTCTACTAAAAATACAAAAAATTAGCCGGGCGTGGTGGCGGGCGCCTGTAGTCGCAGCTACTCAGGAGGCTGAGGCAGGAGAATGGCGTGAACCCGGGAAGCGGAGCTTGCAGTGAGCCGAGATTGCGCCATTGCAGTCCGCAGGCCCGACAGAGCGAAACTCCGTCTCAAAAAAAAAAAAAAAAAAAAAAAAAAAAAAAAAAAAGAATCTTTGCACCACCTTCTGAATTCAGTAGGGCTAGAACCTGGCAGAATTGTGGACCATGATTTGAGTCCAGGTCCTTTGTCGACATCCTCTGGCTAGAGGCTGTACCCTAGCATATAACTATTCTAAGTCCTTTCTGTGTCCTGCTGGCAGAATGATGCATGTAAAGTCAGCCATGCCAGTTACCTACTTAAAACTCTCCAACTGTCTCCCCATCTTCTAGGGTAAAGCCCAAGCTGCTGTGAATATCCTACAAGGACAACAATTTCCATGACATGGCTCCTCCTACCTCATCACACACCACCTCCTAGAACTGTATATGATAGTCACATAAATTGCTTATAATTTTTCCACAAATACTATACAGTTGAGGGTTATACAATTTGAGCATGCTGCTTCCTACTTCTTGAAATGACCACCTTCCATCCTTCCCCCTTCTTCGTCCTATCTGCTGTTCACATTTTAGGTCACAGGTCACCTCCTCCAGGAAGACTTCTTTGACTCACCTCCACTACTACCACCAAGGATAAGCTAAGCAAAGCTCTTAAGACACCCAGAGCATTGACTGCATGCTCTGTTACACTCAGAAAATCACTGTGCTGCTCTGTTTGTATTCCACCGTAGGCTCTGAGAGGACTATCATGTCTCCTCCAGCAATGTAAATCTAGCAATTAGCACAATTCCTGGTGTATAATGTTCAGTCTATAAATGTTTATTGTCCCAAGCATAAAGAATATACTCCTGCTCTCTCTGCATAGAAGAACTTCCACATAGAAATGGGTTTACACGTAAAACAGAACAAAGCTAAGAGAACTAAGACCAGGAATGAATAAGATAATAAAAACAACGGAGCTCCGCAGTGATGAGAGTGAGGGAATAGGGGAAGAAATAAAAGAACTTATTTCCACTCACTTATAAAAGGGTTAGACATGAAGTCAACATAATAGACTTTTTAAAAGTTCAACTAATCAATAAATTGTGTGAAACTCATGTCTAACACAACAATGTGGGGTGTATTTATTATGAAGTAGAGGTGGTAGTGAGTTGCTTTGTTATGCTGTAATCAGCTTTATCTTTGAAGGTAGTTTTAATATTTTTCAGTAGAGAAGTGAGAGTAATTCCTGGAGAACTCTAGCACAACACACTTGCATTACAACCTTTACTAATAGGTTTAAAATTATAGTGATTATCTCTAAATACAGTGACCTACATGTTTAATATTGTTCAGATTACATTCTTTTGTTAAAATTAGCTTTCTGGAGTTCCTGCCACACTGAATTAGAGCCACATCCATCTATGCCGAATTGGATATCATTAAATATCTGTATTTATGTTATTTTCTCTTGGATTATTTTAATCATTATCCTAAAATATCCATACACTCTTAATGCAATTTTCCTCAGAAATTTACAAACTTGTGGTTTTAACATAGATTGACATAAAATGTTTCTTAACAATAATAAATTTTAGGTACTTTTTTACTTGTGAAAGTACTCATCATTTTTTAGGACATTTGGTAAAATGGTACATTAAAATTCCATGAGTTATCTTTCAGTTCTGACTCTTCTGTAATACTTTAAAACTTTTGTCACTAAATGTATTTCTTTGTTGAAATGCTCTAAATACACATTAATGGGTGTTGCAAATTTAAATTCTTGACATTAAGTTCTCCCTCAAGAATATGATGCAGTTCAGCTTCCAACATTTTTAGAGCGAGTCACAGGCACCTGTAATATATTGTATGCGTATAGTCTAAAAGTTAAAAAAAAAAAAAGAAACAAAAAACCTTCTCTAACTATAAAAGCGAACCCCTGAAATAAAGGAGTTAACGTGCTGTGCGTTTTAAGCATGGAATATTTAACGATGTCATTGTAGTGTTTACAAGAGTTGAGTACTCATGAGGTATAATCTCACTGTGATCCATCTCATGTCACAGAACTAATCTAATTCTAAAACTAATTTTATAACACAGCAATGCTATTCTCCTACTATCGCTTATTTTATAATTTGATTAACATAACAACAAAGGACAGCTATATAAAATTTAGTTTTCCTCAAGCAATGATGATTGTATCCTTTGTCTTCAATATTCTTCTTGACTCTCACATTATGCATTACTAAATGCTATTATTCATTTTTCATAACTGTTTCTCAGGAAAATATTACTTAGGATGACAATAGCTTCTACTAGATTATTCTGTCTCATTGCAATTACTTAAGGCAACCTGCTGTCAACAGTCACAGTTCAGAGATCCCGACAATATGTGAGGCTGCAAATGTTTACATTAGGATATCTATCTCCTGTACGAATGTTTGAAGGTGTATTGGGCAAAGAGATAAACAGCTGCTTTTCTTATCTAACATTTATTAATATCCAAGAACGTCAAAGACCAATATTAGCCTGGGTCATTAATTAGAGCCGGCTTGGCTTTGCCTGCTGCAGCTCTCCTAGAGATGACTTCTGTACAGTTGTGAAAAATGGGGCCATTCCTCAAGGGCAGCCTTCAAAGCGAATGTGACTCTTGTTGCATCCCTGGCTGCTGCTGCCATCGTCTTGTAAAAGTCCAATAAAGAGAAGAAATAAGATTTCACACGTGTCTTCTACAGATATTCACGCAACTTTTCTTTACTTTCCCCTTCTATTTGAAATGACCTCTTCTTCCTCCCTATCCAATACAGGGTCAGCTCAAGTGCACAAATCATCTTCATCAGGCAGCAAAAGAATTCCACTTGACAAATTATAGTGAAGAAATAATAATAATAGCTAAAGTTTATATCATTCAGATGACTGAACACACGTTTAAAATACTAACTGTTTTTATTCTGACCCATAATCTCCCACAGGATCAGGCCCTACCTTGTGGGGTCATTATTGGTCTCATTGGGTTTTACTGACTTTCTTGCAATTGTTTATTCAAGAAGTCGTTGAGTTCCCTATTCCCTCTCCCTGTCTGGGCTGCGAGTCCAAAGAAACTGGCTGTATTTAAAGTTAAAACTAATGTTGCAAACAAAACACTCTGGCCTGTTAGTTTGGCTTGTGCACCTCTCCTCCTGTCTCCCCCAGGAGCTCTGCAACTAGCGTTCTTTCCATGGACACTTTTAGAGGCCCCCATGAAACACAGCCCTCTGACATCCTCCTGTCCTCTGGATTCCCCTCCTCCTTGCTTGCTCTTCCTAATTTTTAAAAAGCTCTTTCGATCTAGCTTTTAGAGCTCTTTTCCTTCTACTGTGCATCAACTCACTCTAGATTTTCTCTGTGAGAGTTATATACCAAAAGTCTAATTATTTATCCCACCTGTCAATCTGAGATCACTCTGACTTTATCAGCTTTGCTAGCCTAGCATACCTTTAAAACGATCCACAGACTGGAAGATATTATAAATACCAATCAACTTAATAAAGATTGCCATGGAACCCTCTCCTAAATTTCAAACTCTCTTTTCTTCAAAGCACTTCTACTACAAATGCAAATTCACACATATTTTTTGAAACTCTTCACTGATGATTCAAAATGAAGAAAGTCCAGTCCCTGCCCTCAAGAAATGTGTAGGTATATGGAGAGACACCAGTAAACAGGTAATTTCAAAGCCTGAGGGAGGCAAGAAAAAGGTTCTATTGGATGACCGCTGGGGGGCATTTAACCCAAAGCACCAAGGTAGGAATGCTTAAAATGCACACGTGGCTTTATTCCCAAATTCCACAGGTCACAACCAGTTTGGAAGAATGACATTTTTTTTTTCCACAAAATTTATACCGTGAATAAAAAACCTATCTCTAAAAAATGAATGAACATTCTCATGTTCATTTTGGAGTACAAAACCATCACATTACAGCAGTAGGTAATTTTCCTCTATGTTATTTTCTGCTTTGAATAAAATCTGGCCACAATTAGTTCTACAAGGCTTATTATTCCAAGGGAAGTGTTAAAGTAAAAATTTTCCCTTAGTTAATGTGCGTGCCTCTGTGTGCATGTGTGCGCATGCACGTACGTGTGTGTGTGTGTGTGTGCGTGTAAATATTTCATGTTTCCAAAAAGGAGTCCCAGCAGCCTGTTGTCCATGGGGTGGGTGTATGCCACATCGTCCTTCTCAGGTAGTGGAGCTAAGTTTACCACTCAGGACATCCTGGTTCCTACATTCCAATATCCCATGACAACAAAAGAAGAAAAAGGGATGAAGTCATATTTTAAGCAAAACAGGCAATGTGGAGGAGTGGGAAGCAAAGGAAAGGTAACCCCCATCACTCAGGTTAGGGAGGTATCTTCCTTCTGAAATAGCTTCCCTACCTTCCTCTCTGAGTTAAATCACCTTCACTTATTCCAAGGAGTAAACAAAGGAGAAACTTGTCATGACTAGGGTTATATTCCATAGAAAGGAGTATCTACACTTTGCGTTAAAGTCCTTTGCATTGGAGTACCTTTAAAAAGGTTAGATCACTGAGAACAGGATACTTTCATGCACTGTTAATGCCCAAAGAGGGGCTGGAATAATTTTAAAAAGATATTTCATAGAGAATTATATTATATTCCTGATAACCCCAAAGACTGTTTTCCCTGATTATTCCCCCAACCATCTGAAAAAGCTTTCTTCTGTGAAATCTTTGGAATCCCACCAATCCCAGATCAATTACTTCTTCCAGCCTGAAATGTGACAACATCAAGGATTTCACAGTGGCAGAATTCATTAATGTAATTATATCTCACAACTAAAGTATCTTTGTGGCCATAATAACCAACTTCTGTGTACTTGTCCCTTCCTTAAAATACACATCTTCTGAGAAGTCTAGCTGTATATTTTAATTTTTGACACAAAATTACTCTAGATGGTCATAATTTCCCTGAAGCGAAAAGATTATTTGGAATATACCATCTTTTTCAACCAAGCGGTACATTAGATTTATTCTCAAATAAATATATTTTATAACTACATCTATATAAAGGTGATTGCTTTATATTTATTTCTATTTTACAGTGAAAATGTAAATTCTTATCTTTTTAAGCATCACTGCACATGAAAGACTGTTTTCTATAAATTATAACTTGTCTGCATGTGTTGATAGATTATGGCTAACGGTATGTGTTGAAAAATTATGGCTGAATACAGCACTGACATCATGACATCGCTTTTATCCTTATAATATTTTTAACATTCAAACGTTCTTAAATCATCCACATGCTTCTATTATAGTGAATGTCTGTATCCAGATACAGTTCTGTTGTTTTAGCCAATGATAGTCTGTGGTGGATCCGAGATGACTGCACAGTCCTTACCATTTCTCTTATGGAAACAAGAAATTCATTTTTCCTCCTTTTGTATTTGGGCTGCTCCTGTGTCCTGCTTTGACCAAGGAAATATGGCAGAAAAGAGGCTCCATAACTCCTAAGGTTGATTCTTAAGAGATCTGCAGGGGTTTTTTTCCCTCGGTACTTGGAATAATCCCTTTTAGAAGGCAACTTCCTGGTAAGAGATGCTAGGACCCATGCTATGAAGAAGTTCAAACTACCCATGTGGAGAAAGAAAGAGAGGTCATATGAAAAAGCAACAATATACAAGACATATGAGTGAAGTCTTCCTGACCTTCCAGCTACCGGATGAATGCAGTCAAGATAAACAACACACTTGAACCAGAAGCACTGCCCACCAAGCCACCTGAACTCCTGACCAACAGAATCATGAGAAATAAAATCGTTGTTTTAAGCCACCGAATAAGGGAGTGATATGATATGAAGTAACAGATAAAACAGAATCTGCCTAAAATACTTTCTCAATATCTTCAGGTTAGCACAGACATTCACCAGAACTTCCGTCATGATTTCTTAAAAGATAATGAAAGTTGTTCATTTTAAGTATTTTCACACCCAAACTGTTTGTCTGTAAATTATTTTTTAATCTCCAGGATAAAAAGAACAGATGCACCTTGCAAGGTCTTAGTGTTAAGGTGTTTCATATTAGAAGATAGTTTTTAAGTTGTCCTTATTCGTAAATCAAAATAGGGGTGAGATGTGTTCACTAAGTGACGTATATTTTTAGGAAAAGAGACAACTTTTATTCACTTCTTTATTTCCTGTTGCTTTTTTGCTTAAGAAAGGGAGGGAGGCAGGAGGAAGGGAGGCATGGAGGGAGGGAGAGAGCATCATTATAATCAAGAGTTCTTGGGGTTACCCTCAGTCCTTCCATTATAAATAGTTACCTCCATGGACATTGAGATAAATAAGCAGAAAGGACATTTTTTCATGCCCACTCCCACCCTTTCAATCTAGAAACATTTCCTTGGAGCATCAGTCTGGGTATCTACATACATATGTACATTTCTAGTGAGAGGATGTCATGGTTAGATGTATTCAGGGGCATAACTTATAATTCAACCATTGGGTATGTCATAAGACTCTGCAGTAGCTGGTGAAACAGAGAGCTTGGTACTCCGCCAAACACTGAAATCTCAGAGGTCAAGGGAATCCTGACTTCCTATTAAACTTCCCTATATCACCGTAATTAGAAGATCTGACAGGATTTTCAGGTTAATTCACAAAAGGAAGAGGTTTGACCTAAAGATCCTGGATTATAACACACAAGAGGCTTGATTCCTTATGATAGAATCAAATGGTACCATTACCCAAATTTTAGGTACGAATATGTAAGTAGTGACTGATTAAAATTTATTTCAAGTCATACCTATTCAGTATTTATAATATGAAATCAGGAATCTGCCTGGTAACATTTCATGTACCTTTTCTGTCTGGGTTACTTAATAAGATTCTTGAAAAAAATTATCAAAGTCGTAGTTGATTTCTATCAGTGTACCTCTCCTCAACCATGCCCATACATCTCCTAATATTCCCAGCAGGACATCAAAGATTAAAGCCTAATCTGAACTCTAAAAACCACTTTCCATTCAGCAGCTTGACTTCCTAGAAGCATTAACAACTACAAGTTTCTTCTTTGTGTTAAAAGATTAGCAGCTACCAAATATGCCCTGCAATAATTCAGCAGGTGTATTGTAAAAAATTGATTTTTCTTTAAAATTTTTCAGAGAAAAGAGGTTATTTGATTTTAAAAAGCTCTATAATCTCTACAGAATCTTAAAAGAAATAACTTGTTTTTCCTATTGTTAAGAATAGTTTAACTAAAAATTCCTTCTGTGAAACGGTTTCGAGTCTTGGTAGAGCTGGTCATCCTTACGGATCAATAAAACATTTCAATGCTGCTATTTTTCTTCCTGGTGTGTTTGTTAAATTCCATTACTACTTGATGGAATAGAGAGGAATATTTTGACCAAATAAATTTGCCAAGTTTAGAATAATTCTTAGCTTCCTCAATATATGAGGAGTTAAGGACACAAAAATCCATAAGCTTATAATTTATCGAGGTAATTTTTCTTTGCAAACATAAAAGAATTCTGCAAAGTCTAAGGTCTTCTATCCTTACCTCAAATACTATTATCTCCTTATTCACTGAGAGGGTGGTTTGCTGTGACTGACAGCAACATATAGCCTTTTTAGACTAAGACAGGTGAATAAAGCACAGTCTATTGTTTAAAGAAATGCCTCTCATTTCTCAAATTATGCTTATCCCACGGTATATAAGAAAACGTAAGCACACCACGTATTCATTATCATGTATTGAGAGTCTCTATATTTTTTAATAATAATACAGAAACAACATTTTAATAATGCGGGATTATGTCCATTACTAGCCTTTAGACTTCACAGTGTCATTCAAACATCCAGGAATATAATCTTTCTTATTATAAAAGAAAATAGAGGGAATTTGTTCAATTCTACATTAAAATTTCTAAATATTATTTTATTGTTTCCTTAACATGAATATCTTATAAGGTATAGAATTGTGTTTCAGAATATTTCAATAATAGCCCTTTTCTTTTACCCATCTACTAGGAAAGGCTCATTCATTATTTTCAACTTATTAAAATCTGCAAAAGCTGGGATACATACTTGAGTCTAATGCTGGGGATAAGGAGGAAGCTTTTCTACTTTTAATTTGTTAAGATCCCCATTAACATATGTAGACCAATGCTATCTAGATGGTCCCTCGATTATGATGGTTTGGCTTCACCATGGTGTGAAAGCCATACACATCCAGTAGAAACCACAATCCCATAATAGGTAGAGGAACTTATGATAGTTTCAATTTATGATGCATTTTTGACCCGATGATATTTTTGATTTACAATGGTTATGTCAGGACCTAACCTCATCCTAAGTTGGAAAGCATGTATATAAATAAATGTATATATACATACATATTCATACACACATGCACAGATATAGCATTGAAGTGGATGCCAACATATCAAATACTTTTATTCCAGTTTTGCTAATTGGGAGCTGAGGTTCAGAGAGGTTAAGGGATACCCAAAACAGAACAGCTAATAAATGCAGTAGTTATCTTTAGGTTACATGCAATCATACATATCATAATAACCATCAATTTATTTTCTTTATTAAATAGAGGCCAATGATTTGCTGATTGTGGTTGACCAGTAAAGTAGCCACTCTCCTCCACAGATGACAGTAGTGGTATTCATAGTAGTCGTGGTAGTAATAATGCTCATTAGAACACTGTGTGCAAGTTAGTTTGTTGTTCTCATTTTAAAGATGAGGAAACTGTGGTTCAGAGAAGGAAAGTAATTTGACTAGGGCCACATAACTTCTAGGTGGCAGAACCGGGCTTTGAACCTGGATTGTCTGCCCCTAGAGTCCATGCCCTTGTCTACTCCGGTAGACAGTGTCTCAGGTGTTTAATGAGCACCTACTCTTTGTCAGGCAATGTGTGGAGAGCATGGCTCTTCCCTTCTGTTTGTAGGCAAGGGCACAGTAAACACACCTGCACCAAGACTGGCTATCACTTATCAGATTATGAGGCACATAATATCTAATTCATCATGAAAAAAGGAGGAACATTTTTTAAAGAAGCCAACTTTTAGAGGGTCTATTTTGATAATATCAAGGTTTTTATCAAAAAAAAGCAATGTCACTTTGGGAGGCCGAGGCAGGTGGATCACGAGGTCAGGAGATCGAGATCATCCTGGCTAACACAGTGAATCCCCGTCTCTACTAAAAATACAAAAAGTTAGCCGGGCGTGGTGGCGGGCACCTGTAGTCCCAGGTACTCAGGAGGCTGAGGCAGGAGAATGGCATGAACCTGGCAGGCGGAGCTTGCAGCGAGCAGAGATCGCGCCACTGTACTCCAGCCTGGGCCACAGAGCAAGACTCTGTCTCAAACAAACAAACAAACAAAAACAAAAACAAAACAAAACAAAAGCAATGTTATACACTTCAAAATAAACATGTCTGCTAACATTTTTATAAAAGGAGAGGTAAAGAATGTGTCTAGACTAGCTTGAAACTACAAACATTTCTCTGGAAGAAAGAAATGAAAATAATATTAGTGATTACCTATCAAAAGAATGACAGAATGAGGAGCTGCACAGCTGGGGAACAACTCTGGGAAGGAGACGTTCCACTGTATATATTTGTGTAATATTTGATGTTTGAACTACATGAATATGTTATTCAGAAATTAAAGAAGATTGTGTGTTTTATTTAAAATTGGAAGTGAAAAAAATAGACTCCGTTAGCACCGACTGCCGAACTAAACAAAATGACAAAGACCTCTGAAAAATAAGGCTTAAATCAGATGCTTAGGTTACTGAAAAACCGGGAGCAAAGCATTCACCTTCTCTTTCATAAAATGATGAAGCCAATTTGTCGTTCAAGTTCATTACGGGAGACAAGGAAGACAATTTTAAGTTTTTCTAAATTGTAAAGTTTACATTAATATATACACATATACACACACGTACATGTACATGTCTTACAGTGCTCACCAGTTCTTCACTAATAAAAAAGTGGAGGTAAGATCTAAAACTAAATATGCACAATTAAAAAGTCAGCTTCATGGATGACAAACGAATTTAAAAACTGGCTTCAAAGATGCTACAAACTAAATTATACATTTTGGACAATAAAGAGTGACTTTTTGTCTTAAAATATTTTTGATAGACATAAAATTATACATGATTAAAATTTTCAAAGTAAACTCCATTTTCAATTGAATATACAGAAGGCAGTAGCCATGCTCACAGTGCATTGCCTAAGGGAGCAGGTGCTCACCAAACACATGAGAAACTGTCTACTGGAACAGACAAGGGCATGGACTCCAGAGGCAGACAATCCAGGTTCAAAACCCAGTTCTGCCACCTACCTACAAGTTATGTGGTCGTAATCAAATTATGTAACCAAAGAGGTTCCCTCTCTGAACCTCAATTTCCTCATCTTTGAAGTGAGGATGACAGTTCTAACTTGTACACAGAGTTCTAGTGAGCATTACTACTACAACTACTAGTATGGCTCTTACTATTATCCTTTGTAGAAAAGAATCAAATATGATTTATTGATCAGCCGCAAGTGGGAAATCATTGGCCTCCACTTAATAACAGGAAAGAAGTTGATGGTTATTATAATATGTATGACTGTATGTGATCAAAAGACAACTTCTGCATTTACTACCTGTGGAGTCTTGGGAGTCTCTTAACTTTAATAAACCTCAGATCCTCATTTGCAAAACTGGAATAAAAGTGGAATCTATTACATAAGGTTATGGTGAGGATTAAATAAAATTTAAGCAATTGATTACATTACATAATATAAATATATAAATATTATAAATATAAAATGTTTATATATAACAAATATATATTTATATATAAATATATTTAAATTTTTTATAAAATATATAAAATATAAATATACAACATATATAAATAGTATAGACACAAAATTTTAGCTACTGTCAATAATAAAAATACTAATAATTTTGTCACTGAAATTCTTTCCTTTTATAATTTGAAAGTCATATTTTGTAATTTTGCTACAGGCTCATCTGACTCATCCTCTAGGACAAGTGTCAGCCTGGCTAAAGACATAAATTAGGATTAGAGAATCCTTGCTTTTGAGAAATAAAGCCTTACTTCTCAGAGTGTGGTCCACAGACTAGGCATCATCTGGGCACCTGCTATAAATGCAGAATCTTGGACCCCAGCTCACATTCACTGGACTAGAATCTGCTTTTCAGCAATATCCCCAAGTGATTCATACCCACATTAAAGTTTGGATAGTGTTCTAAAACTGATTCTCTAATATATAGTAGCCCTAGCCACATACAGCTACTTAAGCTTAAATTAATTAAAATTAAGTACAATTAAAAATACAATTCTTCAGTGTCACTGTCACAATTCAAGTGTTTAAACATGATAGCCATGTGTAGCTGGTGGTTATCATATTGGAAAACACCAATACAGAACATTTTCATCTTTCCAGTATGTACTATTGAATAGCGCTGGTCTTTTCTGTGAGAAAGTAAAAGATATTTTAGGAAACTAAGGTTCAATTATTCAATAAGTTTTTTAAACTCCAAATTATTCATTGAACCCCTTTTTACACTGCACAGAAGTACTCATGTAAACTTATTTTTTTGTTTTTAACACTGGTAGGAAAGGGCAAGGGAAGGGAAGTAGCTTGCCCCATGTGCAAGTGGTGATTCTCTCTTGAGGTTCCCAATCCCATTCATATGTTTATTTCTTCCTGTTCCCCCACCCCTCTTAAATTCATAAGACCTTCATCTTCTCTGGCCCCCAAATATGGGTTCTCAAGACAGAGCATACCAAGCAATCACGGAGCAGGAAATGATACAAGTTAGACATAAATTGTTAATATCCCCTGCCCAGCCAGAAGTTAAAGGAACAAAGGAAGTCATGGTGGAATCCAGAGCTACACAGATGAATGAGAAGAGCTATTTTTCAGAGCACTGACAGTCACAGATGCGAGTCACAAGGGAATGAAAATTTATGATATGCCTTAAATCACACCATGTTGGTAGTTAATCTCTCTTCTCCCTAAGGGCAGTTTCTAAAAGTAGCCATCTCCAGGAACAACTACCACCACGCAGCTTGATCCGAATCTCATTTTGCTAAATCCTTCAAGAATGGTTTCTCACTTCCTTGTGTGCAATTATCCTATCTCATCTTCTCCAAAGAAAAGCTATTTGAGACTACCAAATTGTTCTCCTCTAGCCTTCATAGACACCTGCATCAATTTCTTGGGACAAACCCGACAAGCAATGTTGGCTGACTGGCTGCATTCCAGGACCTCACTGCTGGTGAATCAAATCTGACACTGGAAGCTCCACAGGGTTTACAGAAAACTTTAATAACATGACTTAAGAAGTTGGCTGTGACATCAAGTGTAGGCCCAGATTGCACAATTTTTCTGAGCTTGGGAATGTTAAGAAAACAATTCGAGAACTGTAAATAAAAACAAGTATAACTATACATTCATCTTTTCAATGTCAAACTGGGGCACTATCTAATCAGCCGACATATGATTATAGAATTTTAGGGGAATGTACCCTATTTTCTCTTACTATTTGCTATTACATAGGCCCACAGTCTATAAAGTTAGATGTTAATTATAGAAAATATATAAGTACCCAAAAATTTCTGTCTGCTATCAAAGACAAACACAAAAGTTATGGCCTGAATATTAACCAGTTTTGTATTTAATTTTGGAAACTTTGTAAGCCATTCCTTTTCAGACTATATAAATCTCTCTTCCTCAAATACTGTTTGAACCAACTTTACCATCTTGATGGCTCCTTTAATAAGTTAAATTATTGACAAATATTCACTACATACTTATACGAGAACCACATTTTCTCATTTGGAAACATGTACATTGAAAGCGATCAATACTGTCTTATAGATCTTCATGTCTGATCTGGAACGGGTCTTCCTACTCTCTTCTACTTCATCAGGAAAATGAGATACTGCAGAAAACCTAGACTTTACACAAACCATGATAGTTAACCTTATTGCTTTCAGATAGAATCTATACAATACATCTTCTTATTAAACCTGCTACCAAAAATAAAAATAAAATCCTAAACCAGCTGGAACCTTTCCACTTACATTCTCATCAATTTTTTCTTTATCGACATCATCACAGACAATCCAAAGTTATTTCTATGATTCTGATAATTGAGTGAGGCTCCTTCTACCAACTCTTAACCTAGGTGGGAGGAACTCTTCTTTCTACTGTACCAAACTGATCAGTTGTATGATTTTGAGCAAATCAGCCTTTATCGTTCTCAACTGCCTTATCAGTAAACCAGATAACTTAATCACATAGTCGGTTGTAAGATTCCTTCAGAATATATGTACATCTTAAAGGGGGATAATGGAGAGAAAATGGGATTCTATTATTTAAGACTCTCAGAGTCAGAACTATGAGCCCACAGTGCATGTTACTAATAATTACCATCTGCAGATTTTACGCTGGCAATTTGACTGTTGCATCTCATGCTCAGGTCATTTAATATGTGCCTACCTAAAGCATACCCATTAGAACAGATATTTTCTCCTTAAAAATTGGCTGTAAATGGAAGTCAGCAGATGGTACTGTACAACAGGAACGAGTTATGGTATCTGCTTAATTTTTTAGCCCTATATAACCTGTTGGTGCTTTGTGATCTCTCTAAAATACCTTTTTCTTGTTACAGAATGACTCATTTTGAGGTTTACATAACAATTATGGGCTTGTTATGCTGCACATCTTCAAACCAGCAATTTTATATCATGATGGCTTTGTCCTGTGTTTTCCTTAACTAAAATTGCCTTGTGTGACCAATAAGCAATGTGAAGCTGACATTTCTGAGTCCAAGCAGCTAATCCTAGATTGTATTTATCTATTTTCAAATATTTGCACCATCTGTGATTCCATATTAGTTTTTTTGGATTCGCTGTTACAGCTCAAGAACTGTAGCTCTGAGAAGGAACGAAGCTGCAGTCCAAATGCAGAATACATTATAAGCATGAGACGGAATTTAACCATGGGGATGGGGAAGGGAAAAAAAACAAATTCAGAAAAGTAAATGCATATTCAGTTTTCCATTTTCAAAATATAAACTTTGTCAACTTCTCTGCGTGATAAGAAATATAAAAATGGATGCCATGCAGCTTCTTAACCAACTCCCAATCCATGTTTGCTTTGGAGTCAGGAGGACTCTATATAATCTGCATACCAACCAAAACAGGAGCTCAATATTAAAGATGCCCTTAAGCTTCCAATGTCAAACAATGACAAAAGGTGCTTTAAAGCTGTGTTTCCAACTTCTGGGAACTTCAACATCCAACATAGTTTGATTTTCCATCGCTCTGTCTATGTCCGGTATAACAACCCAACACATATTAATAACCAAATAATAAGCACCACCATTTTTCAGCACCTCTTGGATAGTAAACCTATTTCATTGCTGATCCTCACAACAGTTCTGCAAAATAAACATCAATTCATTTTCAGATGAAGCATCAGATACAGAGAGGCTGGGTAAGTTGCTCAAACTAGTATGTCAAGGTTCTAGGGTTTAACGTCAGGTTAAATGAGTAGAAATCCCTGGGTCTATCCACTAAAAATAATTACATGTGTCTGAAAAATTATCCTCATGGACTTATTTATTTAGCATATAATCATTTCTCTGGTCTGTATTGGAACTTGGTGCTCTGAAAACTCTGTCTGGAAATACAAATAATCAGCTTCTGGAAATAGCTTTTTTTTTTTTTTTGAGACGGATTCTCACTCTGTCGCCCAGGCTAGAGTGCAGTGGCGCGATCTGGGCTCACTGCAAGCTCCGCCTCTCGGGTTCAAGCCATTCTCCTGCCTCAGCCTCCGGAGTAGCTGGGACTACAGGCACCCACCACCACGCCCGGGGGAGAAGCCTTTCTTACCAAGAATCCCAGTGTATCAGAAGTCTGTTGTTTCCATTAATGTCCCAAGAAAGCTCTAAAATTTACCTGCATGCATTCCCCAGTTGTTAAGAGCATCTCTCCTTTAGGAGGGATTCACCCAATTGCTACTACATTGCTGGGAGTTGCAATTTCAGATGCTGTGTGTAGATATCAGCAGTTGCTTATTCATGCTGAGTGTAAGAGGGGAAGCTTGAGAAAGTCAACTCTGTTTGTGTAGTGGTGGCACTGCCATTTCACTGGAGTAGTGAATTTCACAGTTTACGTTCAGAATGGCATTATGGCTTTGCGTGTAACCTCTTGCCATGGCAAAGTACAGAAGATGCATATGCACTTCTGTGATGTCTGGTGGCCAGGTGCCAAAAGTCTAAGGACCACTGACCTAGAACTAGCACATCACAAAGGAGAAATCAAGAAATGTCAAATGAGCCTTGCCTATGGACACAAAGCATTTTAAAACTTGTTTTTTTTTTGTTTTTTTTTTTTAAGGTTATACTTAAGCGGCAAGGAAGGCAGATGTGCTACCATGACACCACCGAAGGCTTTGTACCAGCAGCTGAATCTGGGAATGGCTAGATGGAAAGAGACCCAGAATCAAGTACTGCTTCTAATTCTAAACAACAGTGTGACCTTAGACAAGTCACTTCACCTCTCCATTGTCTGTTTCCTGATTTGAATACAAAGGTGTGACATTTAGGAAACA
This sequence comes from Homo sapiens, assembly GCF_000001405.40. Classification (NCBI taxonomy): domain Eukaryota; kingdom Metazoa; phylum Chordata; class Mammalia; order Primates; family Hominidae; genus Homo; species Homo sapiens. Next base: position 115,171,499 of record NC_000002.12, on the reverse strand, counting down.
ACAGTTTCTCTGAATGTTATCATCATTTATCATTCATGTCATGGCTATTTGAAGGAAATAATTTAGAAAGGCAATGCTGCTACCAATATCCAACTATTCTTTTTCTTTTCTTTTCTTTTCTTTTCTTTTTTTTTTTTTTTTGATGGAGTCTCGCTCTGCCACCCAGACTGGAGTTAAGTGGCACAATCTTGGCTCCCAGCAACCTCTGCCTCCTGGGTTCAAGCAATTCTCCAGCCTCAGCCTCCTGAGTCGCTAGGATTATAGGCATGTGGCACCACACCTGGCTAATTTTTGTATTTTTAGTAGAGACAAGGTTTCACCATGTTGGCCAGCCTGGTCTCAAACTCCTGACCTCAGGTGATCCACCTGCCTCGGCCTTCCAAAGTGCTGAGATTACAGGCACGAGCCACTGTGCCCAGCCAATATCAAAGTATTCTTTCTCAGAAAGTCAATCAACTCTTAGACAGACGATGGCTCTCAGAAATGTAGAGAGGCGGAGGGAACTGGATTTGGGTTTGGAGATGGCATTCATGCAAAGAGAGATGAAGGAACGAGAAGTACCATCCTAGAGTGCAGAGATACTGACGCTGAGCAAATAGAAATGTGTAATAATGAGCCACTCATCATGCCACAGTGGCCTAAAGTTGAGCAAATCTCATTTTGGAGCAATTATAAGCAACCTTCATAAATGTGAGGGAGGGGAGTTTCTTTCATTTCAACTTCTGGTTCAATTCACACATGCCTATCACTCTCACTATGGGTGTCAAGAAGTAGGGTACACACAATTCCTAAGATCAGAAAAAAAGAAATAACCCTGATGAAGATGTTGGGTTTGGCTTCAAAATATGTTCACTTTATTTATTGGACCACTTATGTTTTATAGTACTCTAAAAAAGTACATACAGGTGAAACGTATCGTCTTTTCCCTTGAAGTCCCTAAAAGCTAGTGAGGTAGATAGAAAATCTATTCATAATTTCATAGATCCTAGGAAATTTAAATTATAGACTAATTTTGCCAGACAAATGACCTATTCTAAATTTGAGGAATCCTTCATGGATTTCAGTTTTTTTTCCTCTCAAAAAGATATATTTTTACCTCTATTCAAACATTGTCTCAGTTCCTCATCTTCTATTCTGTGTCTAAGAGAGAAGAATTATCAATGCAAATTTGTGACACATTGATTTAAAGGATTGCTTTATGAAAGACTTCTAGTACTTGTTTTAAAACATGTGAAGTGAAAAAAAAGAGCCATGTTTTGCATTGATTAACTTACATTAAAACCATTCCTGGAGGTGAGATGTGATTAATGTAAGTATGAATATCAGAGTTTTCACTTACTCAACTCTTGCCAAAAGTAAACCCATGTTCCAATAACAAGAAAGGCCTATTTCTCCCTGTACAAGCATTATTAATGCAACTTCAAGTGGTCTCTCTGGTCCATTATTTGAAAATAAATCACAGGGCAGCCTGCCACTCAAGTTCTTGATTACGTAATACAGATTTGTCACATTTCTGTTTTCAGAGCAGACTTTCTCAGATGGAATAAGAAACTGAATCTTCATTTACATATCAAAAAGAGAGTGGGGATAAGAATAATAAAAATAGCTTTTATCCTCCCTTTTCTTCATTTGCTATCTTTTATAATCTGATACATAGTTATTTTGTCTTGACCTGAGAAAACCAGTAAGCATGACGAATTACAATAATATTAAAGTTAGATAATACATAGCTTGGCTGGAGAACATTCCCAAATGTAAAGTCGGTTTTGATTATGCACTCAACTAACTTTTCTTAAATTTCAACTAAATAATATCACCTGTTCCCGTATGCAAAGAATTTCTAAGTAAATCATTCCTGGGCACCAAACTTCTGGAAAGAGAATATTAAACCATGAACATATCAAACAAGACTCTAAGTCTTTTGTGAAAATAGACTCTTCATCTAAAAATAGTAGAAATCAGTCAAGTTGTCACGAATTCATTTTCATCTAACGCCCTATAATAATCTACCTATAAAAGATCCATAGCATTTAGATCATAAATATATATATATGTGTGTGTATAGTGTGTATATATTTGATAATGGTGTACACACACATATTCAGCATTTTCATTCACATAAGTGCAAATTTACTTTTGTAAAAGAAGAAAATATCCTTCTGAGATGATCTAGAAGCACGATAGCATTAAGAATGAAAATACTTACTAGGTTTCAAGCTTGAGCCAGATGCAATAAAAACTCATTCACATAGATTCTCTAATTATTGCAACATTCTCATCATCCTCTCCCTTTTCAAGATGAAAGAATGATTTTAGTGGGATTATAAATTGCCTAGTAAATGGCAGAGGAAGGAATCAATCTGAAATCTGTTTGACCTTGTTCTCAGTCTTACATCACGTTGCCTCTCCCCAAAATGTAATTAAATTTGAAAATCATTTGGCAATTCCAAAAATGTTATAGAATATTTTAATAACTTTTAAATAAACTATGGCATGAAAAACTTAGAAAAAAATTTTTTTTATTTTGTGGAAGACATTAAAAGAATACTGTTCACATCAATTACAGAACAGAACAATTCAAAATATTTATTTTATCAGTTTTGGATAAAAGTGAGTTTTCTGTATTTAGCCTGGCAGTGGATGACACATTTACCATTACAAATGGATATGCCTGAGATTCTAAGAATTTAGGAAAGCTTAACAAACATAAATCTACAATAGAAGAGCTTTCTTTTCAGTGCCCCAGTCTCCCCACCGAACCTACTTCCCAGCCTTCTCTACTATACTGAAAACGACAACCATTCCTTGAGTTAATATGTAGTCAATGATAAGAATGTCTACCGTGTAGAAAGAAGGTAAGTGCTAATTTTAAAAGCCTTAGAGAACAGGTGCTATTAGATAGGGACAAATAAACAGAGATTGGTTATTGCCAGAAAACTTGTGGATCAGGTCAATAAAAACTTTAAAACAAGAGTATGCTGGGAATAATCAATACTAAACTCCACAACTTCTCAAGGCAGGACAGCATTCACTAGAGCAAGAACAATTCTAACTATCCATAAGGATATAAGTTTATGAAGAAGTTTACAGTCCCTTTATCATTTATCTGGCTTCTTTTTGGACCTTGCACAAGTCTTCAGATGGAAAAACCTCCAACCTTTTTTTGGTTGATGTATGTCTTAGTATATGGCCCCCATTCTAATGTTAGTCATACATGAACTTGGTTAGGACACACAAGTCACTTAGCAAGTATGAAAATATATGGAGATGATTTTAATAAGTGGAGCATACATGTGTGTTTAAAGGTTACACAGAAAAAGGTGTAGAAAAAATTTGTGAAAAAGTCTTTTGACTTATGTTTAATCCAATTCCATGCCCCTCCCCATAACAGTAGGGACATGCACCCTGGGTTCTTGGTGGCTCCACTGCCAAGCACACTCTCCTGCTACATTGACTGAAATCTCACCCCCTGACATATTTCTATAAATCCCATCTGTCTTTCCTTTAAATATCCTCTTTCTCATGCTGATTACCTTGGGAAGTACATTGCATTGAAAACAATATGCAACATATTCAGCAGCTAATTCAACTCTTGGTGAGAATTAGCCAAAGTTTACTTTTAGCCTGACTTCTTACAGAGTAGAACAGTAAAGAATTTTACTATTCAATTTTGATTGAATGAAAGTCAGGATGTAACAGAATATTTTGAAATCTGGATGCCTGCCAAAATAGGATTGATGTCCAAATCCATTAATATAATATTTGCATGCACCCAAAAACTCATGTGTAATCATACTAATATGTGCACTGCAAAATATGGTTGTCTGTAAACTTAAAATAATGGATCAGCTATACACGGCTTAATAATCTGAGGCTTTTTTTTTTTTTTTTTTTTGAGACGGTCTCGTTCTGTTGCCCAAGCTAGAGTGCAGTGGCACAATCTCAGCTCACTGTGGTCTTGACCTCCCAGGTTCAAGCAATCCTCCCACCGCAGCCTCCTGAGTAGCTGGGACCACAGGAGTATGTCACTAAACCCTGATAATTCTTTCTTTCTTTCTTTTCTTTTTATTTTCTTTTTTGTTTTTTGTTTGTTTGTTTGTTTGTTTTAGAGACAAAGTCACATTACGTTGCCCACGCTGGTCTAGAACTCCTAGGCTCAATCCATCTATCTCAGCCTCCCAAAGTGTTGGGATTACAAGTGGGAGCCACTGCACCAGGCCCAGATTTTTTTTTTTTTTTCTATTTTGTCTAGGCTCTTATTCCCAGACTACACATTTAATAAGAAGACTTGGTATGAGTCAGACCTTATTCAAAAACTCCTACATATTATTTCATTTAACCGTTAGAACAAACATCTAAAGGGAACTGCAGTCACCTCCATTCACAGGTGAAATGGGGAAATTCAGTTATCCTGCCCAAGAAAACACACTGGTCTTTGGCGGACCTGGGATATGAACTTGACTCTGTGACTTCCAGTGCATAACCCATAGACAGTGATGAATAAATATTTGTTGTTGATAGCACAAAATCTCACAATCTTAGTCACAGCATTCTGGCATTGTGTCTGCTACATGTCACACTGTAAGTAAATTTAAAATGTGCCTATAAGTAGTAAAGCTTAAGACATTCTGTAATCATAAATAATTCAAGAAACCAAAATTTTGAATTTGCTTTATTTTTACTGAGACTGGGAGAAATTTGGTTGTTTTGTTTCCAATGTAATGTGCTTCATAAGATAATGCAGCATTGATATTTAATAATACAATTTTCTTTAAGTTGTTTTATATAATTTAATCTTTTTAAAATGTACCATTTGCTCAGATCCTGAAATAATCAAACAGATATATAGATATATTAGAAGATTCTAAGCAAGAGATATTTGTTGTATGTTCTTAATAAACAAAATGCCTTATATATAATATTTATATTATAAATTTATATAATATATATTTATATTATAAATTTATATATATATTTATATTATAAATTTATATAATATATAATATTTACATATAAAAATAAGAAATTCAGGGAGAGTAGGAAATGCATATTTTCTCTCAAATCATAGACTTCCATATAACATCTTTATTTAATGTATATTATCTTTTATAACCAAATTATATAGAACTCTACTCCCAATTAAATATGACATTTTATATGTTGAATAATTCGAAGTAATATGTTTTTTATTAATTAAAATTTTTCAATATGATTTATGAAAGCTCTTTTCATGGTTGTGTTTTAAAAACAATAGTTTATTGATCAAATTATGATGTGTATATATTAGCAAAGGGCACATGGAAGAATAACTCTTTTGCAATTTTTCATTAAGCATATGTTTGAATATTTAATCTGGTTTGCTAGACCAAAGGTAAAATAAAAATACTGAATACCAATTTCTGTATTAAAACATTTTAAGTTGATATTACCTAAATGTCTAAAGCACATCGATATTTCAGAGAAGGCATTTTACACATTACACATTTGATCTCAATTCTGGTCATGAATTATTTCATCAAGTGACAGCTTCACGTTCAATTGTAAGAGATTGGTTTTTTACCAAAATGCATTTTTTTAAAGAAAATGCATAACAAGTGCTGTCTTTGTAGTCAAATAGTTGCTTTTAAAAATATGCTTTTTAGTCATACTCTAAAAAGTGGGATGGTTTTGTTTTTGTTGTTTTTGTTTTTGTGTGGTTATTTTTGTTTTGCTTTTGGAGCTGAGAGAACAGCCACGCTTTTTAGGCAATATTTTTACCCACTGGAGTCAGCAGAAGGGTGCCACCTGGTGGAAATGTGAACAAACTCTAAACCTTGTCTGATTGACCATTAAAAATATATATATACTCATTTAACAAACGTTGAGAGTCTCGTCATCAGAGACAAATGATACAAAGATCAAAAAAAGCTCCTATAAATTTATGAGGATCTATCTTGTTCTTTTATATTATTTAGATCAGTAGCGTGATATTAACTAAAATTAGCAGAGCTGTGATTTACTTGTATAGTTGAAGCTTTAAACAAATTATTCATTTGTTTTATATTCAAGGTAAATTTGTGCACATGTGCACACATACACATATAATTTGCAATTATTTTCATTCTTACAATAGAAATATGTTGTATCATGATTGTATAGAAGTTAAAAGTTGAGGCTTCAGACCTCCATGAGTTCCTGGCTAAGTCTCACTTCCACAATAACTTCCTTAATCCTCTGTATTCTCATCTCTAAAATAGGAATAAAAACAGGACTCACCTCAAAAAACTGCTTTGAGAATCAAATAGAAAAATACATTCAAGAAATGTTACTTTATGAACCCTAAGAATAGTACTCTGCCTGTGGCAAGCATTCAGGAAGTGATTTTTAAAAATAATAATAAATTACAATTAGCCACTAGAGTTCTTAGCTCTTTCAATGTTAATTGAGATATTGATCATGTTAAGAAATGATTGTGTCTAGTCATGTCAAGGCATTTGTTTTTAGATATTTTGTAAATGTGGAGTGTTGTGAAAGCAACAAAAATAACTGTCATAAATATTTTGTAATCAAAGAATCTTTAAAAGAAAGATTACTAAGATGATAAAAATATTTCCAATGATTCAGAATATTCATAAAATACACGGTCCCTACACGGTCCCTCCTATTCTTGTTGTCACCATTCTCTAGGGAGGGAGGGCATGTCCTCTTGTCATGGCACCCTGTGCCAGAGGACACTAACAGATCAAATAAAAGAGGAAGGTTGAGCCCTCTACAGGACTGTAACTGTAACCAAATTATATGGTTCATAACCATTTTCAGTTACAGGAAGGATTATGGTCTTCCACTGTGCTATAAGTGGAAATAGGTGTTTGATGGCCTCAGGACAAGGCATCTTTGAGGTTTCATAAAAATCTTCACCATAGAAACTAGAAGACATTCTTGGAAACATGCAATAGCTTAAATCATTCAAAATCAATGCATAGTGATTGATTTGTTGGAACATGTGCCCTATTTAACCACTAGGTAAAATTTCATAAAGGTACATTTTAATTTAAATTTATGAATCTTTTTTATGAAATATTATAGAAAACACACAACTAATCACATCTTTATGAAGCTATATTATATCTAGTATTGCACGAGAGTTGTGTGGCAATTGCAGAATTAAACCATAATGACTAATATGGCTAATAAAAGCTTAGTAGTCTTACGGAAAGTAGTTTAAGCTGTCACAAAAATCATTCACATTCTTTTTCCATCGTTTCATATGTCAAGCTTTGAACAAAAATATGCTAGATATGAGTATTTCCTGGGAGTGCTTGAAACACCCTCACTGCGAGGTGCCATGTGTATATTTCAGTTGACTTTCTTTGTAAAATCAATCTATTAGAACACATGCATAAGATTCATAAAACTGACATTTTCAAATCATGTCAATACTCAGAAAGGCACTTAAAATACTCTATTAAAACAAGAGTTCTGCAAAGTAGCCACTCCCTGAATATTTGAAGTGGCTATTAAAAAATGCACACTAACAAGAAAAATGGATTCGAGCTTGCACCTATCTCTTCATATGAATTTTAAGTACCAGATTAATCCTGACAAGGGGATTTGTTGTGTATAGACAGCGTGTCCACTATCTACACATACATTTTCAGCTCCTGTGTGCTCTGCTCTGCTCTGCTTCTGCATCCCACTTCCACCATCACTGAACTGTTTGCAGCGCCTCAAGTAACCAGCTGGTGTCACAGGTTAGTGAGCAAAGATTTCATGTGGGGACTCTCACCTGGCTAATCTTTCTTACTGGTAGCATCATTCCCAGAGCAGTAGAGAGGCTCGGCGGCTTGTTAATGAAATTTAAGGGCTGTCAGCCTGAAAGAGGATGTTCAATCCATGTTCCCGTTCTGAAATTATTTTTCTATATCTGCTAACCAATGTTTACATTCTGATGTGTGCTGGGGATTAGGAGGAAGGGGTATAAAAGGAAGGAACGTATGATGTTTTAATATTTTCATACTTATCTCAGAGTATGGATCAAACAGGATCGTTTAAGAAAACAAATGCTTTGTAAGAACTGCCAACATTCAACCCCCTCCCACTAATAAACGAGAAGGGAGCTGTAAGTCATTGAGTAATCCCCACCACCTGTGTGAAACACATGTGAGAGAAAAGAGAAGGGGAGGGAAGAGGAGAAAAGAAACCGCAAGCCAGGAGAGATGACCAAGTCTGCAATATTAATAACAGCATCGCTGGCATGGCCTCCTGTGTCTCGCCACCACTCCTGGGCGATTTGGACAGCTCCCCTTAAGAGGCTCTTCAGTGCTTAGAATACGCGAAAAGCCGAGTCGCTGCTGGAGCCTAGCCGCGTGCGCTCCCTCTATCCCACGCTAGCAATAAGCTGGGAGGGTGTCCGCCTCCAGCAGCCTTCGCAGCGCACTCCGAACAAAGATCCCCAGTCCTCCTACCCCAGCGCTTGGGTCCCGCGGGTCCACAGTTAATCCCTGACCTAAGTGCAGCTCTCTCTGCCCGGAGTTCCTAATTGATGCAAACGTGAGCGCACCTGCACCCGGCTCAGCGCAGCCTCCCTCCTCCTCCTCCTCCTCCTCGCCAGGGTGTCTCGGCGCTCCCGACCCTCCAACTTTGGAAAAAGAGCGACACCGAAGTCCCAAATCACCCCAGATCAGGGACAGAGACGAGATGGGGATCCACGACGGTACGGTTATGCTACAGATTTCTAAAGACCAAAACAAAAAGGGGTTGGCGGGTGTAGACGGACGGGAAAGAGACAGGAATAACCCTCAGCCCACGCAGGGCACCTCATCTGTGCAGACGCGACACATCCAAACCCAACACATCACCAAAGCCAGCGCCTTCCCGGCTCCACTTAATCGTTAATGCCTCGCCGCTCCCCAAGCTCCGTTCCGCTCAGCAGACTACGGATGTCTGGGACACTCTTCCCCCATCCCCACCTCACAAACACACACCCGTCTCCTCAAAAGAAACAAGAAAGCAGAGGGAAAACCCCGTCCGCCTAAAGGTCATTCGCCTGCTCGGGTCGCTTTGGCCAGCGAGCGCCCCGGCTATAGGAGGACGGGGCTCGAACCCGGTGAGCGGCCGTCAGGAGCGCAGCAGATTTCTTCAGCGTGCGTTAATGGGGAACCAAGAGGCCCCATTCCTTGGTCCCGGCCGCCTCTCCCTCCCTCGGTGGGCCGCCCGCCGGGGTTCCCCGGGGCACCTTCAGCCTTTACCTCTCTGCCCCCTTCCCCGCGGCTCTCCACCTTGCGCATCCTCTCGCCGGGCCCCGGAGCGCACGCAGAGGCTCTAACTTCCCGCAGAGTCCGTGGAGAAGCAGGAGAGCCTGGAACTGGGGCGGGGCGGGGGAGGGTGAGAAGAGGGAGGCGCGGGAGCCCAGCCTGGGAAGCGGGAGGCGGGCGGAGCGCGCACTGGAGCCACCCCTCCCGGGAGGGCCTGGCCGCGGCTGCCGACTCTCACCTGGTCCGCCGGCTGCGCCTGGCTCGCCCTGGCCCCCGGGGTGGGCTGCGGCTCCTGCTTCGCGGCCGTCATCGCCGGCGGCCCGCGCTGGCGCTCGCTTCCTCGCGGGCGCTTCAGACTCGGGGACCGTCACTTGGCAGCGTTCGCAGGTCACGGGCGCCCGTCGCTCCCGGAATCGGCGGAAGGGACGGGGTGGGGGGAGCGGAGGGGCGGGGAGGGGAAGAAGAGCGGCACCGGGCGGGCTCCCCGTCGTAGGGTCCCTCCCTCGGCCACCGCAGACCCTCTGACTCCCCGCTCTCCCCGCCCCCCGCCACCCAAAGCGCAGCGAGCCGCGGCGGCGAGGCGAGACCAAGCGGCAAGTTAGTGCAGCGGCGAGCGGCGGGGCCCCGGCCCCTGACCGAGCTGCGGCGACGCCTCGTGCCTTCTTCCCGCAGTCCGCGCCCCCCACCGCCCGCCCCCGGGGGCTCCCCGCGCGGTGCTCAGCGCGCCAGGTGGAGCAGCCGGGCGCCGCGCTCCGGCCTCTCTTCGGCAACCGCAGCCGGGGGGGGGGAGAGCCCGGAGCGGCGCGAGAGCCCCCAACCCGCGCGCCCACGGCCGCCGGCTTCCGCGGTTACCCCGCCCCCCGCAGGCTTCCGCTAAAACCCGGAGAAGCGGAGCGCGCCCGTGCGAAGCACTGGGTGGCTCCAGCTCCGCCACTGCGCGCGCTCCAGCGCCCCAGAAGGCAGGGGGCAGCCCGGGGACCGGGGTCCCGGAGCCCCGTGGGAGGCGGGCAACACCTGTCGGGACCCGAGGGCGTGTCTGAGATTGTGGCCTGAGGTGCTGCGCCTTCCGATCCGGGGCAGCGGGCGTCCTGTAGCTGCGCCTTCCGAATCCAGCCCAGATTCTCCTACCAGCTGCTTGGGTCACGTCGGTGGAACTCCTAAAGGTCGGTTAAAAACCATAAGAACTGTAATGATGATAAGACTCTGATACTCATTTCTTTTTTCTTTTTCTTTCTTCCTGGACACGTGTAGGAAAACCTTCAAATCTTAAGTCCTCCCAGCCTTTCCTTTCTTCAACACAACCCTCTCCCATTCAAAGTAGGTTTACCGAGCACCTACCACGTGCCAAACACACTGTGAGGCTCAGAGAGAGGGTCGCAGGGGAGAGAAACTAAACAACACGGCAAACCTACCAAATCCCCTGGCTGCAGGGAGCTTACGTTGTGTGGGAATTGGGAGCCCGGAGCCTGGATACAAATCAATGAGTCAATGTAGCTCTTAGGAAGTTGAATTACCGCGGATAGACAAAGTCCACAGTTCATCCAGATGCACTAGTGCACGTGGCTTTCCCTAGGGCGCCTAAAGCCTGTGGACCACAAACAGCCTCCAAGTCTCAGGCACAGGTTGTGGAAGATTGCTTACCGGAGAAATGGCAGGAGTGAGTTGAATATTTAGGTGTTCATGTATTCAGCACAAGACAGTTCCAGCAGAGAGGACAGAGAATATGGGGCAGTGGGGTGGCAGTGAGTTGGGCTTTATTGGCTAAGGACTGGCTCCCTGCTCTGAGCCACTCAGTCCATTAATTAGTCACTTCTTAACTGAAAGACTTTTGTAGAATGGTAGGAGCTGTCCTCTTGCCTTAGTAGTTTCTAAAACACGAATTATAATGTTGTCCTAAATATTAATTGTAACGATACTTCCTATAAAGTATGTATTTTAAAATAAATATATCAGTAATCACCAGCAGAAAGATAGAATTAGAGGTGAGTGGAGATCTTGTTTTTCAAAAATATGTATTCCAGTGCATATTGTGAAAGACCTATTTATTCTGTTTCAGGAGAAATAACTTTTTGCTAGGAATAACTTTGCAAGTTGCAAAAGCATAAAGCAAATATATATTTTTAATGAAACATTAGTGTAATAGCTATTGGGCAGCTTATCCAGTAATTATGACAATATAGATATTCCCTCACATGTAATTCTTTTGGAGGGAGGGCATCTGCATTATTCAGAAAATGTTCGCATTTTTATATTTTGCTCTTCTGTTGATTATTTGAGTATATTCATCCTTTCATTGTGTTTCCATTTCGGACAATCTGCTTGAGTTGAAGGAATTTACTTTATTACAGAGATATCTGTCACACAGGATAAGTACATGCTGGAGGGAGATATCCTTTTATATAAGATTACTTATTTGATTGAGTTCAACTGTTGAATTTGCATCTGTGTTCTGAATTCAGTATAAAATCCACTTCATTACAAATAAAGACAAACATTATTATATGTTTCATGTATTGTGGGGGTCTGTGTGTGTATGTGTGCGTGAATTTTTTTATTTATAAAATGCTTCTTTGATTTAAGTATTTGTCCTTGGGGATGGGTTGTTATTTTGTCAAGCTAAGAACATTTTTAGCTGTTGAGATCTGGGTTAAGGGCACTGATTAAAACTTAATCACATGTAAACGGATTTTCCCAATTTAAACACTGTTTTTATTTTTTTAATGTATTGCACTTGAATTACAGTGTAAGATGTTCTACTTCATTTTCAACTTAATTTCTTACTGAAGAAAAAATTCTAACGTCCAAACAAGAAATGTTGGAATACCTTACACCTTAGAAGGGAGTATTTGCAGTTCTGTTTTGTATGGTTTCTAATGATGTTATTTTTAAAGAAACATTCTCCTGCCTCAGCCTCCCAAGTAGCTGGGACTACAGGCGCGCGCCACCACACCAAGCTAATTTTTTGCATTTTTAGTGGAGACGGGGTTTCACCGTGTTAGCCGGCATTGTCTCGATCTCCTGACCTAGTTATCCGCCCACCCCGGCCTCCCAGAGTGCTGGGATTACAGACATGAGCCACCATGCCATGCCACTTCCACCTTTTTACCTGGTAAAATTAAAATGTTTAGACCAGGTGCCCATTAAGATATTCTCATTCTCTAAGTTTTTGTGATGATATGTTGATGTTATAAATCAAATGCCTATCTTCTGAATGAAAAATTATTTGTATATGTTTAAATTTTAGTGGGAGAGTCAATTAAGTACTTAGAAATTAAAAAAAAAAAACTCAATAGATAAGTTAATTACCTTGCAAAAGGCCCTTACCATCCACCATATTTTCCAGTGCTCTCTAGTTTTACATGCACATAGTCACAATTTTGTCTTGATAATGTTTAAATCTGAAATTTAAAATGTATTTACAAAGCATAACTTCTGAATACAAAAATCTATTTAAAGAGAGTTTTTTAAAAAAAAGATTCACAGAGTATTTTGAATACTTTTTCATGTATTATCTTTGATCAGCTAATTCATGGACAAGCATACATTTTATAACATTCATATAACAGTAAAGGAAGTTTTTCTACACTTTTCATGGGAAGAAATCAGACTCTCATAACTGAAAAGGAACTGGAGAGATCACCTAGCAAAATTCCTTCTATTTTGGGTTATAAATATCTAAACTTTACAACACATGGCCATTTTATTCAGGAAGATTTCCTAGAATTCAAACTCCATCACTTCTTTCTGAAAATGGATTACCTCAAATCCTAGTTTTGGGTTCACATGTAGACAGAACTCACAATGCTGCTTTCTCAATATATTCATTTGGGTTTCTGAAGCCATTCAAAAACTTCCTCACATACAACATTGTGAATATCTACAATGTCTTTCTTTCTCTTGCTGTTTTACCCTTTAAAAACAGGAAGTCAATGCAGTACATCTCTCTTTACCTAGAAATATTAAGGTAGATAATTGAGGACGGGTTATGAAATTTAGATAATAATTGGATTAATTGAAGATTATCGTTATAGTGTTTTGGTATCTGTGGCAAAATTAGGTTGTTCTATACATACATAGGTCATCTATGCAGTATTTAATCCTCCACCTCAAATAGCAGACAAAGGACCAAAGAACCAAAATTTACTCTAAAAACAACCAAGTAAGAAATAAGGTCTAGCTAACAGCTGATATGTCAGAAAGACAAATGTCCCTTGAGATTTTCTGAAGTAGGATACCCTTTAGAGACAAACTCTTCAGTTTCAGATAAATTAGACAAGGCAAACAGTACTCCACAAGCAGCTAGTTGCTAGAAACCCTCACTGCATTTTCCTTCTCTTTGCTCCCCTTCCTGAGGTAAATCTGCAGTGTCATGTAAAGACCACCTTGATGGGGATTTCCCTAGCATTAGCCAGTCCTCTGTTGAGTGTCTATAATGAGCACAGCATCAAGAAGACAGAGTTCACGAGCTGTGTCTTCAGAGACTTGGCCTGAAATATGCCCAATTAGCTCTTTGCAGATAAAGAAATAGCTTTAGTTCATATCTTCTGCTATCATTTGGTTTCGATTTATGAATGACCTCTACTCACCTCAATCGGGTTTTGAATTCCCCAAAATGCACATCATGTCCCTGGACAGAAAACCAGTATGCTGAGCAATCCTCATAAACAAGCTACATTTTAGAAGCTCTAACCAGTAAACTATAACAGGAATTTACTTTTAAAGTAAAAAAGAAGAAAGAAGTAAAGGCACTATATATATAAGTGATACTCATGTATACTATTCATTCTGTTTTGAGTTTCTTTCAGTATCAGTTAACTAAAGTTTTTGTCAGTCTCTGTCTTTGACAGGAAGACTTTCCTGTTATAAAAATTCATAGCCCAATTATGATCTCTGGTGGAAGCAGACAGAGTTGCAATATCCTGAGAGTCATTCTTGCTCTCTGGAGACCTGAAGATATTGAACAAATTGCCCATGCCTACTGAGGTCCAGTGTTGTCAAATCTCTCTTTTTTTTTTTTTTTTTGCTATATTTAAAACCTCACATCTTCCTTTCACCCCACCGCCCTTCTGTGTCATATATACAGGAATTAAGACAGTAAAACAATGCAGATTATTTTACCGTGTATGCTTTTCTCTGTATACATGTAGCTGAATTGTAACACCAAAACAACTTGAGAACGTGAGAAATTTACCTGCTGTTGTCATGTTTACCCACTAGATGCCCAACAAGGGATGTGTGTTTCTTTATTTTGCTCTTTATTTTTTAAGAGTTGTCATTTAATGAATTGGTTATGTCGGCACAGTAAAAAAGAAAAAAGAAAACCTTCCATCATCTCTTTGAGCTGATATTAATGGTATTTTTTTTCCTGATTTTCACAACTCTTTAGAAATAAAATAAAGTTTTCTCAATCAGATTTGTCTACAAATGACAGAGGTTGCTATGTATGGAGGAGTATTTAGAAACATTGGCATCGCATTTGTCCTTTTGAGATAATGTCTGCCTGTGATGAATAAATTTCTTTGAATCTGGTATTTCTCGTTTCCATAACCAAGACAAGATTCCCTAATGATTCAAAATAATCTTCCTTTATTCCTTGAAAAGTACGATATTACTGAGCCTTCTCTTAGATTTAGACTTCATAGTGGTTACTCAATTTCTTTCCTTATAAAATTCCCATAATAGCACAAAACACATTTCCCATTCTAGAAAATCTTTTACAAATCGAAAGAGAAAATTCTACTGTAAGATCTTGACTAATTTTTGGAAGGAAAGATTTTCATCTTTTTTAACACTTCCACAATGTTCAATTTGTTTTTAAAGATTTAGTACTAGATTCAAATTCTCCCATGAATTTTCCCCTAGAAAACAAGAGATAGTCGAAGATTCTGGTGCAATAGCCCTAGAGCATCCGCTGACATTAAAGAGTCCCTGGCATTGTCTCTACCAATTGACTTTCTACCACTGGGGATTTTTCTTCCACTATTGCCAAAGGAAACTTGAGGCCAAGTCCTTGGGTTCCTTTCACCATGCAGAGTCAGGTGATTATACAAATAATAGTTTCGGGATATCAGGGGAGGCAAAGTACATTGAAATAAGACACATTAAAACACATCTTTCAATACTGAACATTGTTTAATTCTGTTTCATCTATTAGACACGATGAGTTGCTTGCTAGTGTATATCCCTTGTTATATTCATCTGTCTGTCAATCTGTCACACATCTGTATCTTTTTGGGAGAGTAAGGAAATGTTTAAGTCACTCAGTTTCTATCCTGCATATCTAAATATTTACTAAAGTCACAGATCTTTATCCAAATCAAAGAAGAAAGAGAAAGAAGAGGAAGAGACAAGGTAGAGTAGGAGGAGAAAAAGGGAAGGGAAACGCCAAGAGAATACATTCTGAAGTTGTTAGGGATGTTAGGGTGTAGTAAGTCTTATTGGCTTATTAACACCTTCATAAGAATCATGAAATGAAATACCATAAATCCCACTGGTTATGCCTAAATATTGCTTCTGCCATTGGTTTTCTATATATTTGTATAATTTTAGAATGCAGTCAAAAGTGTAACTTCCTCATTCCTCTGTCAGTAAGTTATACTTGATATTACTAATTAATTTCAAGCTTACCTTGCCTTGTAATATTTTATCATTTGTTACACTTAACAATTAGACCGTAAGCATCAGAGGAGGAGGAGGAATCTATTACAGATATGATAGTTCTTACATATCAATGACTAGAAAATCACCCTTCAGTTAGCAACTTGATTTACTGAGCAACACTTATAAGAGTGTTTAATCTTAGTTAATAGGACATCAAAAGCCTCACAGGACAAATGGGCAGTCCTCTTCCCTTCAGGGGTCCCCTGACCTTTCACATGGAGAAGCCATCCACTCACATTTTCATCTTCCCGAATATAACTGATCTATTAGGACTCAACACCTTTCACAACCTTCCCATCGCAAGTTCACAGGGACTTTCTTCTTTCACTCTTTGTAGTGTCTATCTCACTGCACAATTGAATGCCTTTAGTTTCTAATATTAGGTTGGTGCAAATGTAACTGTGGTTTTTGCAATTAAATATAATAGCCCTAGCACTTTGGGAGGTCAAGGCAAGTGGATCATTTGAGGTCAGGAGTTCGAGACCAAGCCGGTCAAATGGCGAAACCCCGTCTCCACTAAGAATACCAAAAAAAAAAAATAAATAAAATTAGCTTGGTGTGGTGGTACGTGACTGTAATCCCAGCTGCTAGGGAAGCTGAGGCAGGAGAATCACTTGAACCCGGGAGGCGGAGGTTGCAGTGAGCCAAGATGGCGCCACTGCACTCCAGCCTGGGTGACAGAGTGAGATTCTGTCTCAAAAAAAAAAAAAAAAAGTAATGGCAAAACCGCAATTTTTTTACACCAACCTAATAGCTTGTTCAGCATCCTAATTGTCATATGGGGCATCTTATCTTTTCTACTAATATCAATGCTTAGTGGAGAGGAATTCTGTTGGGGACTGGAGTTAACTGTGTGTGTGTGCTCAGGGGGTGGTGGGTAGGGGTCTACATCAGTCTCCTTGCCTAAGTAGGGGGAGCCTCAGAGGAAATGCTCTTTGAAAAAAAAATCTTTATTCACCCTCTCAATATTAAGCTCTATTAGCATCTCCTATAATCTTGTATTTTTTATTTTACTGAATAGGATCATCCAGGGAAAATATATTTTCTCTTTCTGTTGTCCCAGAATATTTTACTTTTCTCTACTTGACATGTAGGAATTACATAGTCTTGATATTCCTCTGAATATCAAGATTCATCTTATCAAGATTCATCATATCAGCATCTGATCTACTGATGTTGGATATGAGTAAGAACCCATCAGATATTGCTTAGTTCTAAAACATTAAGTAAAAGCCACATAAGCATGGAATTTTCTACTGCTTAGGAGCAGGTACTACGTGTTATGAAGTACCAAGCTTCCAGTGTGGAGAGCTCACAGGAGAATTTGGAGAGAATTATGTTTGCACTATCACTCCTAATTTATTTCTTACCTAATATATAAACACTATACTAAATTTGGAGGAGGAAGAGCTATAATGGGCAAAATGCTGAGGAAATATTGAAATTGAATAAAATATTTGTTGTTGTAAATACAGCTTAAATTCCTCTAGACTATATATACTGCCAAAAGGACCATAAAGTCAATAGAAATTTCTAAGATTATGCTCAATCTCAGAAGATAGTTATTTTTGCTTTACATCCTCTGCACACATATTAAATAAGCTTGTTTATCTGCTTTGCTAGTTTTTGACAACATATTTGGAAAGAGGGTAAGGGGAATTGCTGATAGATGGGGTATACAAATATAGCAAGAAAATAAGATACAGAATGTTATAGAAAGCAAAGAAAGAAAACACTGGCCCCTCCACTTAAAATAATAACAACTTAGTACCACTTAGTATGGGGGAGGGGTAGGAGAGACAAGTATTTTTATGCAACTTAGGAAGATCTTAGAAATAAGTATTTTAGGGAAAAATATAAGTATTTTAGGGAAAAATAAAGTTTATGCTCAAAATGAGGACTTCAAAAAAGGTAAAATCAGGCTTGGCATACTTTTTTTGAAAGGGTTATTTTGGGAAGATAGGCTGCTGTGATGACAGCATGGGTTTAGGCTAGATAGAGAGTTAGATATCAGAACCAAATGTACAACATTTACACCACTTCTAAATAACTAGATACCTATGCAAATCCGTAAACACCAAAAGCCACACAGTGTGGGTGCCCTTGTGTCTATGTGAGCGAATGCAGAAGAAAGCAGTAGGGCAAATTACAGTTGTGATAATTCCAAAATATTTAAGAAAGGAACCCCCAAATAGTCAATGCATATTCACTAGAAACTACAGTGGACCAACATAAGAACACTGAGTGGAACTAGGAGAGGTTTTGTGCATTCCAACAGTAAGTAAAATGGGCCCTGTGGGGAGCCCCTTTCCCAACAGGAAATTGGTCCCTCATATTTCTGCATTTCTTATCAGAAGAAAATACCCTGTTTCATAATATCTTTTAAAGAATATTTGTGCAGCAATTAACCTGGAAAGAAGGACTAGTATCTTCCTCTGGAGCAAAGGACAAGCATTATTACTCTTCAGTATAAAAAAGATAATGTCTTCCTCTGGAACAAAAAACAAGCATGCTTACTCCCCATTATAAAAGATTTGGGTTCCTTAAGCTCAGGGTTCCTCTTCTATAAACTGCAATCTACTGTGTGGGTAGGCATCCATCTGGCTTAACCACCCCTCCCATGGTACTTGAGGAGAAGAAGAACTCACACAAATACGTTCATGTTCATCCTACTCATTATACTATGAGTAATCAAAGTCTTTGTCTCTGACCCTCAGTCTCATGTCTTTTGCCGACATCCATAAACCTGGCGGGTTAACTCATTAGCTCGAAAGCAGTATAAAATCTCAGCTGTTTCGTTGTTCTTAGCAGGTCTATGTCAAGGTCTTAGGTGGCTGGTGCAGTCTAGATCCTGTGAACTCTTGAAACCAAACTTCCAGGCATCTTTCCAAAACAGGACCCCATACTGAGGATAAACTACTAGAAGTGGAGTCAAAATTGAACTGAATAGACATAATAAAAATGCAGGAAAGAGAAAATCCAGACAAACCTGTTTCCAGGTAAACAGATATAAGAAATCTATGAAAACAAGCCAATATATCTATTTTTTACTGTTACATAACAAGAGAAGAAGGATCTCCTTTAGGTTGAAAAGTCAGTCTTAAATTTTACCTATCTAAAAGTTCAAAAAAACTAAATTTATACAAAAATGAGCAACAGAAAACTATCAAGGTCAAATGCCATGTATGTAAAGTTTAGCCCCCAAAACAAAGTTGCTACAAGGAAACATAGAATGAAATTCCTATGGACCAGAGACTGGCAAATTGTAGCCCAGAGGCCAAATCCAGTCTACTTTCTGTTTTTAGAAATAAAGTTTTATTGGTACATAGCTACTCTCATTCATTTACATATTGCTTATGACTATCTTCATGGTACAATGGCAATGTTAAGTATTTGTGACAGGCCATATGGCCTACACAGTGTAAAATATTTACTGTCTTGAACCTTACAGGAAATTTACCAACTTCTGCTATTGACAAAATAAGCCTGCCAAAAAATGTCATGCTCAAAATGTTTTCAAAAGTGTAACATATTATTTTAAAATAAGCTAAAGGACATTAAGAAAATCATCATGCAACACATGAAAAAAACATTAATCAGAAGTAGAAAAAGAGATCAAACTCAAGAAAAAATTAGAAAGAAAAGAAACAGCATAGTAGGAATAAGACTAATCTAGAAGGAAAATAAGAGGATATAAGTACAAAAATAACACTTTAAAGGAAATCAAGTTGAGAAGGAGAAAAATATTTAACACTAAAAAGAAATTAAAAAATAAAGAAAGAGGTTTCAAGAAAATGTGACATGTATTATAGATGGCAAAAAGATCCATGAATGTTATAGGAGTTTCTGAGTGAGAGAATAAAGCAAGGATTTAAAAAAAAAAAAAAAAAATTCAATACTGACTGGGCGCGGTGGCTCACGCCTGTAATCCCAGTACTTTGGGAAGCCGAGGCGGGTGGATCACGAGGTCAGAAGTTCAAAACCAGCCTAGCCAACATAGTGAAACCCCAGCTCTACTAAAAATACAGAAAATTAGCCAGGTGTGGTGGTAGGTGCCTGTAATCCCAGCTACTCAGGAGGCTGAGGCAGGAGGATCACTTGAACCCAGGCGGCAGAGGTTGCAGTGAGCCGAGATCACACCATTGCACTCCCGGGTGACAGTGCAAGACTCTGTCTCAAAAAAAAAAAAAAAGTATAAGAAAGTAATCCTGAAATTTAAAAAAATCAATTAAACTTACTGAAAAATCTCATAGTGTAACTGATAATATTAACGTAGTACAATCAACACGAAGTAAAATTAAGAAAGAGGAAAAAAAGAATTACTTGGGCATGTAGGGCAAAAGAATACTTGAGTTAAAAAGGAACTAAGATTATTATTATTAAACTTTCCAACAGTAACACTTTATCTTAGAGAGAAAAAAATGAAGTAACATATTTAAGACATTCAAGAAAAGACAATATGGACCGGAGGTTTTATATTCAGTAAAACTGAATTTCAATTATAACGGTCATAGAAAGACTGTTACCAACATGCAATCACCCAAGGAATATTGTCCTCGTGGGAGTTTTTTGAGGAGTCTTCTAGAAATCAGTTTTAGAAAACAAAATTAACAGGAACATCGCCATTAAATAAAAAAAAGTGTGTAATTTTAAATTTTTTAGTAGCCACCTGAAGAAAGTAAAAAGAAACAGAAGAATTTAAATCAATGGTATATTTTATTTATCCCAACACACTAAACGTTTTATCATTTTGATATCTAATATATATGAAAATTGTCTATGAGACTTTACATCGTATAGTAAATTTCCAATATCCAGTATGTATTTTATGCTTACGAACATACCAATTTAGACCAGACATGTTTCAATTGTCCAATACCTCATGTCACTAAGAGCCACTGCGAACATTCCAGAACTGGAGAGACATAAGCCTAAGAATTATGGTGGATTACACATTTAGTGATAGTAGAATAAGACAAATTGAGTGTTAAGTAGGAAAGAGTACATAACAGCTATATTATCTACCAATGTAGATTTAGTACAACCAAATGGAGAGAATGAGATAGCATATGCAAGAAAACATATTTTCAATAATTATAATGGGTGGTGGTAATATTTGTATAGTTACTTTTTTTTCTGTTGTGTGTATAATATTGGAAAAGTAAATGAGTAATTATGAGATGTTCTAACTCTCTAATCGCCAAGGCTTTAAGAACTATAATTTTCACTATAGATAAGAGGCAAATAGAAGATGTTCCTTTAGAAAATAGCCCTGAAATTGAATTGGACATTTTCATTTGGAGATATCATTATTATCTCATTCCTAATGCACAACAGCATTAGCAGTGAGGCTATGCTTCCCACAGCTTGTGCTAGGCGAATGACTGAGTGCAGGCGGCAGAGATACTGAAGCAGTCCCCTTCATAGGGCTTGTGGGAATCCTCCGTTGGACAGCTTTGGTTTGAGAACCCTCCTAAATATTTCTTAGACCTGAACTACAGTTTGAGACTCTTTCTATCTATTCTCCTTTCTTCCCATTGACCTTCACAGCAGTAAAGCCTACATCACAGTCAAAGGGTTATTCCTGCTTTTTCCATTCACTCTTTTATTCCCTCACAGGCATTTTCTCCAATAACTCTCTTGCACATCCACTTGCACCTGCTTCTCAGAGGACCTAGATTAACTCGGTCTAAAAATAATGACTGACCTAGTATAAATTAATTGTCAAATAAAATGCAGGGTGCTCAATTAAATTTGAGTTTCAGATACACAACGAATAATTTTTTAGTATAAGTATGTCCCAAGTAGGTGACTACGTGGCTTGTATTTTTATGTGCTAACTTTGGCAACCCTAGTAGCAATGACTATCACTTGCAACCAGGTTGTGGTGTTAAAACAAACAAACAAACAAACAGACAAACAAAACAGAATTTCTTAGAAAAGTGCTGAATACAGATATAAGAAAAGGAGCACACCAGATAAATCTGAAACATTTTGTTATGAACTAACATGGGAAGTATCAAAGACTACTAGTTCAAGAGGAATCAAAAGTTAACCTTGAAAAGCCTCCACCTGGATGAAGAAGGAAAAAATAGCACTTCAATAAGGATAAAAATTACAGTGCATTGGGATCCATCAGATAAATTTAAATCCTAATTGATGAGGATGATAGGGAACCAATTTATTATCACAAAACCTATCATAAAAACTTCAGTTCTGTCCTTTTTGGAGTTATGCCCCTGGGTAACCAAATTGTAGGTGAAAGGAAGAATTACCTTACATATGAAATTATTTGAGCTAATGTGTAAAAATAATGGATAGAATTAGAGTATCACCATTTTATAATCACCAAGAAAATAACCAACTGCCGTTGAGCATCAATTTGCCTCCTGATGAAAGATTCAGTGCTACCTATAGTGTTGCAAACAATATAAAAGCTGAGTTTGATCAAGGTTCCTGCTGCCACTTGCTGGAAATGCAGAGAAGAGAAGAACATGTAAATTGGCACCATGAGTATATCAATATACTCATCAAATCCACCCTGGGGTAAAATCCACAAGTGGCCCATATTTGTCAACAGATTAATTTTAAGGGAAAGGAGTTTGTGGGAACAAGGGAGATGACACATTGATGATATTGAAGCTAAAAGACATATCAATTTGAAAATTGATGACATTATAATGCCTTAGGATGTTCACTTAAATGGTAAACAATAAAAATGCAAAAAAAGATTAATATGAAAGTCAAGAGGGTGGTTATTTTTGGAGACAGAGAGGACAGAGAATGTATAGAGACTTCTGGATGGCTAGCAAGATTTCATTCTTTGACATGCGTAGCGGTTAAGATGGTATTTGCCTTATAATAATTTTGTGTGGTTTGCTGTATCTGTGTTTCATTTTAAAATAAAAGTTTAAACAGTGCCTAATAGAGTTCTTGTCTCTTAGTAAACACTCAATAAGAGGTAGCTATTAAAAAATATAAAATAAAAGACAGAGACTACACTTAGAGCAATTCCTTCTCAACCATTATTTTTTAAAGTGATGATAAACCTCTAGCTCTCCAGGGTCATGCTCTCTCTCCAGTGTATGTACAGCTATAAAATTGCTCCTGCCTCTCCAAAATGTGTTTATGGCATTGAAAGCAGAATGCAGACACTGTTTATTCTTTTAGACCTCCTCAGAGTTAGCAAACACCAAGACAAACTCAAGAAGTTGTAAAGAGAATGGGGGTTTATGTCACTGAGATCCTCATCTCAAGGTCATTAACTCATTTCCATGCTTGTAAATATGTATCAACTTAGCCTGCATTCTGCCTTATGGAGAAAATTGTAGATTGTGGTCTATTTGTTGAATTCCAAGTTTACCTGAAGAAAAGCAATAGGTCCTGATCTGAGCCCACTCTTTCTTATTGATTGCAGAACTAAACAGCCTATGTTATATAGAGAACAATTAATGCTCTTAGCAGGATTTGTGGCTTCAGGTGACAATGCCTCTTGCCTTTGTGAACTCAGTGACAGGCTTGTTTAAAAGACTGTAGTACTCAGTCTGCAATTTTGTAGCTGCAAATGGGGTTCAAGAAAGGATGGCTTCTCTTCATGTGTCTAAGATTCCTTTCTTATACAGCACCTACCTTGACACCATCTCTCCTCAAATTGCCAAGTCTTGACACAGTGGGCTGTGTCTGAGGGTCCAAACGGGGTTTCCCTATCTACCAAAAAGAGCTAAAGTCTCTAAATTTGTACATCCCTGAGGACATCCACTCCAAATACACATTCTTTTCACCTAAAAACATTTTCAAGTTTATTTAGATTCCTCAAAGAAGCCATGCATCCCTGCCCACTCCCATGAAAAGTGATTTCTTCAGTTTTTCATTCTCAGAGTATTCAATTTCTACACTATGGATTTGTCACATATCATTTATATTCTTATATTTTTGGGTCTCACACTACCATTCTGCCACGCTTTCCACTCTACCACTCTGTTACTCAATTTCCTTTTGTTTTTGAGAATAATAATAATGAAAATAATAATAGCTCACATTTATTGAAAGTATAATGTGAATCAGGCACTGTCTAACTCCTTTAATTCAATAATTCTAGAGTGTAGAGGCTTTCCTTATCTCCATTTAGAATCTTGTACACCAAGACCTAAAAGGTGTTACTAAAGCTTGCCCAAAGTTCCACAATGACTTAGAAGCATAGCAGAGATTTGAACACAGGCAATTCTATTGTTAATATCCTTAATAATGTCTTGTCTTGGATCAAAAGCCACAACAAAAACATGTCTGTTTATTTTAATTAATAAGTTTTCATAGAGTGCCTGCAATAATGACTTTTTCCTTAGCCTGAAATTATCGTGAAATATACTATATATGTAGTATATTATGGTATACTATGGTATAGCATATATACAATACTATATATATACACACACTATATATGCATATATATAGTATATATAGTATAGTAAAATATGCAAATATATTCAGTTTTTCCATCCAATAAAACGACATTAAATAGACTTTTATAGTTAGATAAATCTGTCATAATGCTAGAAGTATTTGGTATGATCTTTGTTCAATTTACCTAGCACAAAGTATATCTTAGTCCCTATGCACTGTTATAACAAAAATGTCATAAACTGGGTGGCTTATAAAAAACAGAAAATGATTTCTCACAGTTCTACAGGCTGTGAAGTCTAAGATCAAGTCTCTGGCACATTTGGAGTCTGGCGAGGGTCCACTTTCTAGTTTATAGGTGGCACCTGCTGTGTCCTCATATGTGGGAAGGAGCAAGCTACCTGTCTAAAGTGTTTTTATAAGAACAGTAATTCCACTCAGGGCTTTGCCTTTATGACCTAATCACCTCTCAAAGACCCCACCTCCTAATATCATCAACTTGGTGATTATGATTTCAATTGAATCAACTGAATCAATATGAATTTTGGGAGGATACAATCAGACTATACCAGAATGATACATAGTAGATATTTGAAAGACTCGAGGTTGTTTTTTTTTTTTCCCCTGTTGTCAAATTTATCTCTAAGGTAGAGTGTATGAGGAAAAGATTTTATAGCATCCTTAATTAGGGAACATAGAAAACTATATATTCACCTACATTTAAGATATAATCTCAATGTTTTTAGTATAATTTATTTTATATAAATAACAGGGATTTTGTAAATATACTTCAAAGAGAAATACATGATACAAGATAGAAACAAAGTATCAAAACTGCTACTTGGACTTCGAGTAATCCTAGAATGGTAGTATAATGGCTCTTAATCTTGAGTGTGTTTCAGTTTCTCCCACTCCAGATCCACACCCAGCATGAAGATTCTAATGCAATATTTTACAATTCAGAATTCTGAATTTTTATCACCATCCTGCTTGGTTTGAAGTATGGGATTCGGGATCACACTTTGAGGAAAAATGTATGTAGTGGTTAAAAGATGAGATTTGGAGTCAGAAAGACCCCAGCGTCATAGATTCAACATTTACTAGCAGTGTACTTAACTCTTCTCAACTTCAGGATTTTTTTCCTGAAAATGCATAATAATGGTGTATCTGACTCGTAGGGTTATGAGAAAATATATGAAAAGTACTCTGCATAGTGCCTAGTACATAGAAAGTTTTAACTAGGTGTTTGCAAGTAATGGCAGCAGTGGTAGTATACCATGTTGTAAAATTGTGGGTATTCTCAATAGTATATGTCATTAGGGAATTGAGAATTAAAACAACAATGAGATACAACTACATATCTGGTAGAATGCTAAAATTGAAAATAATGATAACACTAAATTCTGACACGAATGTGGAGCAACTGAAACTCTCATTCATTGCTGGTGGGAACACAAAATGGTACAGCCACTGTACCATTTGGTTTGACAGTTCTTACAAAACTAAATATACTCTTACCGTATGATCCAGCAATTGCACTTCTTGGTGTTTATCCAAATAAATTAAAAACGTATGTCCACATAAAAACCTGCACAGAGATGTTTACAGCACTGTATTTATAATTGCCAAAACTTGGAAGCAACCAAGATGCCCTTCAGGAGATGAATGGATGAATAAAGTGTGGTATATCCATACAACGAAATATTATTTAGTGCTAAAAGAAAATGAGCTGTGAAGCTATTAAAATGCATTGATAAATCCTAAGTGCATATTACTAAGTAAAAGAAGTCAGTCTGAAAAGGCTACATACTTCATAATTCCAAATATGTGACATTCTGGAAAAGACAAAACTATGGAGACAGTAGAAGGATGAATGATTGTCATGAATTTGAAAGGAGGGAGGAAGTGATGAATAGGCAGAGAATGGGAAACTTTTAGGAACAGGAAACTATTCTGCCTGATACTGTAATTGTGGATATGTCATTATACATTAATCAAAAGCCTTATTTTATCTCTTTCTTCCATTCATCTTCTTGCCTTTCTTTTATTTCTTCTTTTTTTTTTCTGACACACATATCACAAAAGAATCAAAGCCAAGAAAGGATATGTATATAATAATTACAAACTTTTTGATCGCAAGGCAAAGGGTTAACAGTGCAAATTTTTCTTCCTGTTTCCTCAGGGATGCCTTCAAAATGTGTGAATAAGCTTCAATCAGACTGCCCTTCCCAAAGAAAATAACTATAAATGCTGGAAAAACTACAAAACAGCCACCTGAAGGCACTGGCGAGAGACAAAAGCAAGCAAATTCTGGAGAAGAGTCAACACTTGGAAGAAGGGAGCTGCACTGGGTGAGTTCTTTCTTTTTATTTTATTTTATTTTATTTTTTTATTATTATACTTTAAGTTTTAGGGTACATGTGCACAATGTGCAGGTTAGTTACATATATATACATGTGCCATGCTGGTGTGCTGCACCCATTAACTCGTCATTTAGCATTAGGTATATCTCCTAATGCTATCCCTCCCCCCGCCCCCCACCCCACAACAGTCCCCAGAATGTGATGTTCCCCTTCCTGTGTCCATGTGTTCTCATTGTTCAATTCCCACCTATGAGTGAAGAGGAAAGGTTTTAGCCTGCACCTTGCAGAGCAGTGAAAACATCATTTAAAACCCTGCCTAATTTTCTGATTGACCCATGAACTACAAACGTGGGTCAGATTCCAAGCAGATGCTTCTTATATTTAAATACATCAAAGTTACAATTTCCTGAATAATTGTGTACTCTTAACTATTCGACGTAAAAAGAGTTAAGTGACTTCTTGTTCTGAATCCTAACAGGTACATGGGGAAGGAACAGTGTCTCTGCATGAGAATGGCCAAAGAACAAGATACATTTCCCCGTGGAGAGCAATCCTAGAGAGAGGGAAGCATGGGTCAGAATAAGGTGTACTGGCCCCAGGGTAATAGCATGTATTTCTGTTGCATTGGTGTTTCCAAAATAATGCTTCGGTTCCAAGTTTCAGGAATTGGTTGGGGGAGCATGGGGATCATACAGTGATTCAGGAGCTTCCTTGCAAGTAAGTGAGTGAGCCAATCAAATAATTTATGTTTAAATCTTTCACTGTGTTAAATGTTGAAAAATAAAGCAAGTGAATTCCATCCTATGGTGTACACAGCCCTTATGATTATCCGATATAGGTCTCAGCCTGAAATAACTCTGCATTTTCTCAGCCACTTTGCTTAACACAGTGTGAAGTGGATCTAGGACAAGGATACAAAAAAAAAATACTATTCTTCTGAGATGACATAAAGATCTGGCAGAAGGAATCTCGAGATTGGCAGAGGCTGCATCTGAGATTGCTCTGTCTTCTGCTGGTACTGGGATATGAACAGAATGAAATGTCCTGGGGATCATTGGGTATCCGGGGAGATTTCTCCAATGTGGTACTTAGCTCATTCCATGATGCCACATACCTTTATGCTATCAGATAATACAAATGACCTAAGGTCTAGGAGACTAAAATCTGTTGAGGCATGGCCATCCTCAGCAAGATCAAGCCCACTGGACTCTAAAGTGCATTTGGCATATTGAGATCCCAGTGCATTTTATACTTTTGTGCTTATGGCATTAACTGCATATTTTAGAATATAGCCTTGTGGAAATTATGCTACATCTTGGATAGTAAGTCATCCACTTATCAGATCCATTTATTCCCTGCCATTTATTTTGCCTCATATTTTATCTACTCAGGCATTCTACAATATCTTAAAGACATCCTTAGCCTGCAGGTTGTCATTGTTGTTTTAATAATCATAATGAACCATTACTTCCAGTGGCCTAAATATTTTCTTTAGTTTTATAACTAGTACTTTAACTTCCATCCTCTGAAAGGGGCTATTGCTTTTCTGTCCAGCCATGGGCTACCAATGGACTTTACCAGTAGGTATAAATGGTGTACCCTTCTGCCTATTGTTTCTGACCTTTATCGAGGGCCACTTCAGCCAGCCTCACAGCACCATGCTCATCCACTGCTATCATGATATGACCTACTGTCCCTCCTAGAACCAGGCAATATCCCAAGGCATGTGAATCTAGCTGGGAGATCAATGAGGCTTAGTATCCACAGAATGAAAAGGTCAATGAAAGGGAGCCAAATGCTGGATTTTTTCTAGGAACAAGAGTTTACCAAAGAAATTTCAGTCAAGAGCCTTGCCCCTTAAAAAAAGTTGAAGTTCAACTCCAATACAAGATCTAGCCCCCAAACTCAAACAACTAGACAAATCTAGGACACCCCCACCACCACCAGCAGCAGCAGCAAGGGTAATAGGCCTCTCTTAGAGGGAGAAAAAACTACTCAGAGTGAGGCAGCTTCGAAAGAGGAGCTGAAGTAGACCAGGGATCCTTAAGGGCTACTGGAGCTGGGGACTTAGGGCACTGTAGCTGTCTCTTCCTCCTGGTGCAGCAGTAAGTATTCCCAGGGAACAACCCAACTTCCCTGGGTCCTGATAGAGAAAGATATACAGCATCTTCAGAAGGGTCTAAAGCCTAAGAAGCCAAAGAAGCTGCCCAGTTAGCGCTTCCCTCTCTTTCTTTGAGAGCTTGTGGGCCCTGCCACACTCACCCCTGATTTTCAGTTCGTGTTTTTCAAAGCTGCAGTAAATCTCTTTGAAACAGTTGAACTTCTGTGCTTCAATTTCTAAACTTGGTCTGCCTCTATTTAGACCAGCAATGTTGGCTTCCATCTGATCTCCATCCCTGGGGCTGATCTCCTGGGTCCATGCTATCTATGAGCGCACATTGCTTTCTTCCCAGCCTTTGACTTTGTCTGTATTTAAAACCTTGGGCTCTGGCAAACAGAGGCTTTTCCTGTATTCCAGAAGCCAGCCTTCTACTACCCTTGCTTGAGTCCCTTTGTGGCTCTGCTTGATTAACTGATCACTGCAAAAAAGCAGTGAATGATTTTTTGCAAAGCCCTGGATTATAGGCAGTTGAATATTAAACAGGCAAGAGGAGTGCAGCCTTTAAAGTAGAAACAGTGTGCTATTATCTGGCTGTCTATATATATAAAATAGGAAATTCTCAAGAACAAGAACTGTATCTTATTTAACTATGGAGCACATAACTCCTAGCCTAGCCCCACGTGCTGGCTCATGCCTCTGATCCCAGGACTTTGAGAGGCTGAGGTGGGTGGATCACTTGAGGACAGGAGTTTGAGACCAGCCTGGCCTACCTGGCGAAAGCCTGTCTCTACCAAAAATACAAAAATTAGGCAGGCATAGTGGCGCGCACCTGTAGTCCCCCCTACACGGGAGGCTGAGGCACAAGAATTGCTTGAAACAGGGAGGTGGATGTTGCAGTGAGCTGACGTTGAGCCACTGCACTCCAGCCTGGGTGACAGAGCGAGACTCCATCTCAAACAGGCAAACACAAATAAACAAAAAACCTCCTTTCCTATTGTAAGCACCAAATGAATATTAGGTGAGTGAATGAATAGAATACACCTGTATATAAGACAGCATGGACTAAATCCTCATAAAGCTTACACTCCTAAAATTATTTCTTTTCCGAATTTAATATATTCTTGTCTAGACATAATGCAGTCGAACAAGTTATTAACAAGTATTTATGTACCCCATCTCATACCAAAATATTTGGAGACAGCTTTTCAACTTCTTCAGATGGAAATGATGGCAGGTAAGGCAAATTCCATGCTCTATCCCTGCCCAGCTATGTTAAGTAGGTGAATCTTTAACCTTTAACCTTTATTCACCTCTAAAATGAAAATAAGAGTTTCCACATCGAAAATGTGTCGGGAAGATCAATTAAGATAATATGTGTGAAGCGGCATGCACGGTGTCTGGAATATAGCAGGTAATCGGTGAATATTCCTTTCCTCCCTGCCTAAATTGCCGATTTATGAGTGTTAGTTTGAGAATGCTCCTGATACAACCTGAAAGAGATGTTCTCTCTGATTTATAAGAACTGCGTACTGAGTAGAAGCAATGAGAATTAATTAAGGAACTTTTCCAAGCCACACAGTTGGCCATAACATCCCTACCCCTATAATGTTTAGAAGATAAAATATTTCTAAGTATTTTTCCAAACCTTAACCACTTCACCAAACATCCCTACCTTCTTGCTCTAACTCAATTGTTCTTATTTCTGGTGGAGTTTTTAATCCACTGGAGGAAATTCACAAACTCTGGTGATTTTTAGGCCTATCTGGTAATCTTACCATATTCCTCTAGTTCATTCATTCTTTAGTTTTTTTTTTTTTTTCAAGATAAGCATGTCACATCTTTTGATCTGTCCACGAATAGCTAAGAAGTATCTCAAAATAATTATGGCCCCCAAATGGACTTCAGATTTACTTTTTTCCCATTATCAACTCCATTTCAGTAAATGGTAGCTCCATCCTTTTAATTATGTGGATCAGAAAACTTGGCGTCATGGATTACTTCTCTTCACTTCTCTCTCCTATCACACACTACCCCCAGTCTATCAGCAAATCCCATTGACTCACATCAGAATAGGCACTGATTTCTCACTACTGTTGTTAGCAATGTGGTCCAAACTCTTAGCACCCTTGGTCTGAATTGTTGCAACAGCTTGTTGTTGTCTTCCTTCTTTTCAGTTTCCTCAGAGTAGCTAAAATAAGCTATTTAAAAGAGAAACCAGATCACATCACTCTACTCAAAAATGTCCAGTGGCCTCTTGCCTCAGTGAAAAGAAAAGCCAAGTTTCCTAGAGCGGCCAAAAGGTTCTGATTGATCTCGCCTCTTTGTTATCACCAGCTCTGAGCCATCATCTTCCATCATCCTCCTTCTGCCCACAGCCCTGCAGCCTCACTTGCTGCCTGCCTTGCTGGTCCTTAAACAGAAACTCTCCGAGCTGTTCCTGCTGTTTCCTTTGCCAGTAGTACACTTCCCTAGAACATCCACATAGCTCATGGTTTACTTCCTCTACATCTCTGTCAAATGTCACTGTGCCTGGAAGATCTTTCCTGATCACCTTCTCTAAAATAGCATCCTTGTATTTTCTATCCTCCCTACCCTGTTTTGTTATTTTTATAAAATTTATTGCCATCTGGAACATGTTTATTTATTTGTTTATATGTTTGTGCTCTCTCTTCTCTTCTTGTAATATATACCCCACACCTCAAAACTTTGGTCTATTTTTTTCACGTTCATGCCCTAAGTACCCAGAATGGTGTTTGCCCCTTATGGGGCAGAGAATGAACATGTGTCTGTCATGGTACATGAATGCTATGCCCTCTCCCATAGGATTCAACTTCTAAAGCTTAGACCTTCTGCCCTATGACTGTTTGGGGCAAAGAAGCACACATTAGAGTCAGTTCATTGACCAAGTTCACTGTACTGATGGGAGGAGGCTGATTCATGTATCATCAGCACAGAATCGTCAAGGTATTTTATAACAAAGTAGTATCTTAATTTTTTTTTTTTTTTTTTTTTTTTTTTTTTAGTATTTTTACTTCTTAGATCTACCTTCCAATTGCAGGCTATTCAACTGCAGCATCCCTAGGTGTTTCACAAAACCTGCTTTTCACCTCTGGCCCACTTAGAAACTCAGTTCCCTCCCTTTCCTGACAAAGTTCAATTTATGTAACCATTGATACTCAGCCCAGAATGTCCATTTTATAACTGATCTTTCTGGATGGTTATGGTTAAATTTACAACCAGGTGCTTACTATATATTTCTCTGTCTCAGTAGTATTTGCCTGGCCTTTTAAAATGTAAAGTTTTTCGTATGTGTGTGTGGTAGGGGTGGGAGGGATTATGTCTTCCTAGAGTCCATTGATGATTTACGTGAAATAACTTAAAAATTAAAAAAATCTATGAACTTTCCTATGATTTTTGTCTCTGACACCATCTTACAAGACCAATTCTACAATAGCAACATATTTTTCATTTAGGAGATTAAAACTTTTAAACATCATGTCACCTGAGTTGCTTTTCAAAGATAATATGATATACCATAAATAAAATAAGATTATTATTTTGCATATTTCCAAGTTCCCTATTATAATTACTGGAAAAGTAACTATTTTAATTACTGTACAAATGTCTTTGCAAACACTTTCTTGGAAAATAGAGTTTTCTAGCAAGACTATAAATTTCAATCATACTTGGAGGAGGAATGAAGACTTATTTAGTTAATAAATCTGCATGCATCACATGTAGCAGTTTGTTTTCTTTTACCATCAACATGCAATTCATTTTTTTTACTGCCTGGAAGTTATTGACAATTTTAAAGACATTTTGCCCAGGTGTAAGCAATCAGAATTTACTACAGACTGTGAATCAAGGAAATACACATAAATTAAATGTAATGCAACTAAGTCATGGAGCTTAAATCTGAATAAACAGATATTGATCGAGTATTCTGATGGCATCTACAAGTACAATTCTAGATGTAAAAATTAATAATATATAATGTTTCAAAATGCCTTTTAAAATTGTCCGTTATAAAATTGAATTACCTTGGTACATTTACTGAAGTATTGCCTGTGTCCTTATTAATAAAAAAAATTGTGTTTTATTTTCCCAAATGAAATACATAGTAATCATTCTCACTCATAAGAGTTATTTTCTTTATGAGTAATTATATCCATGTTTGTCTTGTCTTTTAAAACAATGTTGAATAAAACATTGAGTTAATATAAATAAATGCAAACTGTAAATGTGTTCTAAAAGAAAAAAGAACTATTCTTATCAAATGCCTGTGCAACTGTTTCAACACAAATGCAAATCAGCCCTAATTTTATTTTCAAAATGCCACTCTTTAACCAATAGAATGCACAATCAATTTTAAACACCAGGAAGGATGCTTTATAATGCTGCTCTAGGGAAGAGACAAAATTTCTCATTTCTTCATCAGCACAGTTAAGTTGTATCACCAAATAATCTATGAACCCCTGATTAACCAGATGCCATTTTCCACCATCTGTCCCAGATTAAAATGCAGTGATGTGTTCAATAGGGCACTAAAAAAAAAATTGATAAGCTTTTTTCTTTTCTTCCAGATAGCCACCCAGACCCCCATGTAGAGAGGAAATGAAGCAGTGCAAGTATCTGTGCATATAACTTTTGGAAATGCAAATTAGAATTTAAAAACTCTTTGTTTCAGCTTTGTAATATTCATCTTAATACAGTGTTATGCATCCCCGTGCCTCTTTCTGTCCTCATATGATATTGTCTACTTTTCCTCCTTAAGCTCTGAACATCTCTGTCTTTATGCTGATGACCTTCATTTCTCTGTGTAAAGCTGTCTTAGCCAAATGTGACCTGGTGGGAATACTGGCAGCCTAAGTCTCAAAGTTGAATAGAACTTTGAATTGGCTCTTGTTCTAATAGTCTGACAGCACAGGTGTACCTAGAAGGTACTTGGCTGTATAACTTCTAAATCACAACATTCTCTACGCCCTGCCTTCTGTCCGTTGATAGGCCTTCATAGTTGGAGTTCACTCAATCTCTTAACAATTTCTCCCATTGGGGAATGATTTCTGCCCTCTGTAGCCCGCCAGTTATGAATGGACAGCTCTCTCCAAACCATAATTAATCTCTTCTTAACTAGAGCCTGGCCTCCTTTCTTGCCTGCTCCACCTGCTGTTAGACATTCCTAGGTATCCAGCCTAAGTGCCTTTCATACCTGGCCTGGCCAAACACTCAGGACAAAGTGATGTGCACCACGCATTTCTCTCCCTATGTCGCTATCCTCTGCAGGGTGGATAGTTGTTCATCCTCAGTCTTGCCACATCCTGCACTTTTCCCACCAGTCTGTTTGTCAAGGGGCAACCCTTCCTCAAGGTTACACCCATTGCTGTTCTGATACCACTGGTTCACTGCCAGATGGCTCAGTCAGATGGATGTGCTAGAGCAAATCAAATCACTGGCCAGGGCTGGGATTCTTTTCTTGCACTCTCTAAAGTTCTATTTATTTATTATATTAGTTGTAATTCTATCACTGCCTATCAGAAAATGAAAACCCCAAATAGATGCTCTTCCCATACAAAGGTGATGCTGGATATGCCCTTTGAGTTTATTTTCCATTAGCACAGATGACCTCCTCTTCCCACCAACTCCTCTCTCCCTCCCACACACACCCTCACACGTGGCTTTCATGTTAACTACTCTGGGACTGCCTTGTTAAGAGCAAAGTCATCTGGACTATTCAAGGGAATAGCCACAAACTCTACCTAGTACAAAAGAGACTGAGCTAACTGAACTTCAGACCTAAAGGGAAGGAGAACTAATGTAGTCTACATCATTGGTAAAAGGAATGTCATCTTTAGGTGAAAATCCTTTAAAATATATTTTGGATGGGTGATTTTCTAAAATTATATTGCTCTGTGCCTCCTTACACTAGGGATTTTAAATATTATGACTTGGGTCAACCTCTGAAACATCCATTTTTGTACTATTCCTCCAAAGATTATTTGTATACATGTAATTATTGGCTCCTCAAATAGATAACCTCAGATTGCTTGCCTCTGTAAATCATTATGTCTGCTTTATGGTTTTTTTTTTATTCCATCCCTTTGCAGTTTTTGCCTTTGCTGATTGTTAGAAGCATTTCCCCTTTTAATCCCTGGGCAATGAGACAACCATGTTTGGGAGAACAGGTCATTACATAGAAATACACTGGTTCTAACTGCCTGAGTGTGTCTTTTGAGAATACATATACATGAGCTTTCAAGAAGAATAATTTTTGAAGTATTATGACTTTACTTTGTAGCCACATCTGACCAGTTGATGCGACCTGTAAATACTATGAGAATAACATCAAGGCTAGAGAAACATTGCCATCTGTTACTAATATTTTCATAGGACATCCACATCATCACAGAAACACTGGGACAGGACACACACAGGTGCGCTCTTCCATTCATAGACCTAAACACATTTTCTGTAATGGAGAGTCCAAGACACTTAGGGGTGCTTAGAAAGATTGAGTATGCAGAGAATCCTCCTCAGGGCTACTGCTGCACAATAATTGCTATTTACATGTTTGTTTTTTTTTTCAGCATAAACCAGGTAGCTGCTGTTTTGTGCCCTAAGTGTCTATCCATGGCATACTCCTCAGAAAATCAAGACATCTCTTTTTTCTTCCCTGTTCCTTCCACTTCTTAAATATAAATAATTTAAACAAATTATCTGCCTCTCACTTCTTTAAAAAAGAAAAAAACTCTCCTGGCAGAAGATTCTAAATGACAATAGGAGGTCAAATTAGCAAGCCTGACTGCTCAAGCTCAAGGCAGATGTGAGAGAAGCTTTGCTACTGCTTATGACCTTCCTGCACATTTACCCTTTTGGCATGAGAATCACAAACCATGAGGAAACTTGCTTTTGATCCTTAAGATGGAAGCCAAGAAACCTTCTGCAAAATGGTCTGGAATTATGTGTAAAACATGTAAGATTGAACAGCCAGCCTCAGCGACTCACAAGAAATTATCTCCTGGGCCAAGTTGGTGATTTGATATCACCATTTATATTCACTACAAGAACCAAAAAGGCCCGATTTTCCATGTTCAGTTCAACCTCTCCAGGAGGTAAGAGAATAGAAGTTCATTGTACTGGAGAGTAGAAATGATTTCACTGAGCTTTAAAATGTTCCATTTAAAATTATGAACAGTGTTTTAACAGATGGGCCATTCTACCTACTATCTCATGGGGCAGCACTCATAATGCTGAGGCCTTCTCTGTTTTTCGCTGACCTTGAAAATGGAATGTAAAACTGGGTTTCTGGATAAAACAGATGGGTGAGGTGCTATTATAAGGAAAGTAATAATTAATATATTCTCTATATTGGGCCAGTATGCAAGAAGGTAGATAGGGAATTGAGGCAGGATGCACATATTAGGAAGGAAGGAAGGTTAAAAAGCAATGCAGAAGGAAGTAGAAAAGCTATTATGTTCTATTTGCTCATATATATATATATATATATCTCAAGGGCCCCACTTCAGAGGATCTATAAAGAAGTACAACCCTAAAGTATGCTCCTACAATATGCTGTTTTTACGTACATGACGGTGTTCAACTCTCTATCTCCAACATCTAGCATGCTGCCTGCTGGATCAGTTTAGTACCTGCCTGACTGTTTGAGCTAATAGGTGGAAGCCTTCTTCAGTGTTCTCCAGCCATGACTACTCTTCCTAACCTGGGTTTGAAATTAAAGTGTAATTTCACAAATTAGTGCCATATGCCATTGCTTGTGTTCTGTTAGAGCAGCAGTGTGGAACGTTCCCTCCCTCTGTCCAGGCTGCACGATGGCCTCTTGCTGATTCTCTCCCAGAAATCTTCTTTAATCTGATGTAAAGCCTTGTCCTAAAATACACTTATCTTGCTTTTTCATGAGCTTAAAATTTTCCATTACTAAAATAGCAAAACGTAATATAATACAACGAAACCACTGTTTTCATTGTGGTGTTTCCTTCCAGTCATTTTTTTTTCTACAAATGCACTTACCCCTGACCCTGTTGATATTGTAAATATTTTATTATCCATTATGCTATTACTCTGATCTTTTTAGATGAAGGCCCTATTTGCGTCACTGTACCTTCTTCATACTTTGAGCTATTGGAGGTAGCATGGGAGAAGCAGAGTGGACAAAGATTTTGGAATCAGACATACAGATTTAAATTCTGGCTTTATCATGTACTAGACATGTAAGCCAGGAAACATACCTGACTTCCTCCTCACTCAGTTTTCCCATCTAAATGTGATTATAGTAACACATATTTCATATGATTGTTTTGAATATCAACATTAGGCAGTCTACGACGTGCACCATCCAGTCAGCCACTTCATGCATAATAACTATCACCTCCATTCCTCAACCCCAAAGAATGGGTCCAAATAGTTACTCTTATTTGACGTAATGCTACTGACATGTAACATATAGATGAAACCTCCTACTAGGAAATATTTAATAGGTACTTAAACTTAGGAGTGAATCAATTGTTTCTTCAGAAGGAGTTCTGTGAATTTGTACTTAAATGTATATATGAAAGAATTATTGTTCTTTATCATGTCTCATAAAAGATCTTTTTCCTAATGTTATTTCCAATCTTCCAGCTATTTATTTAACTGTATTTAAGATCGATATTCTCAAAAACAAACCAAATGATAATAACATCCTCATTTTATTAGATGTGTTTTCAGAGAAGCATAATTTTATTTTCCTTTAGAAGTTCATCATAACCAGTTGTCTGTTAACGTGGGGACAAAGCAATTCCTGTAGCGTGATGAGTGTTCCTTAATAGCACAGCAAGGCCCATCCATCAATTTAGCAAACATTTATTGATGGTCATGTATGGTAGAACACAGTGCTAGGTATCGTGGGGTGAATACAAAATAGCTGGAAGATAACTTCACAGACAGACCTGATTAAAACACAAATAGATAAGCAGTTTAGCTCATTTGCGTCCAAAATGGTCTTCACCTATCTTAAAGACTGTAGATTGTTATAATGAAAACAGCTCGGGCCTTGAAGTAAAGCAGGCAAAGCTTTACTTCCTCCCTTTAGCAGTTAAGAGCTGCGTTTCCATGAGCAGCTCACTCATCTTCTCAGAGCAGCATTCCTCATCTGCAAAATGAGCTTTATATAATAGATACCTCACGACGCCTGATAAAGTTTTTGGCATTAAGTACTCCATTGTTATTTTCATTTATCTTTCCTCATTTTTCTCTATTGAGAACATGTCCTTATCAATAGAGTTGTTATAAACATTAAATGAGAAAACTTATCTAAATGCCCATGAATAACAGGTCTTAGACTCTGGTAAGTACCCAATGTTAGTTCAGTTCCTTGGTCTTAAATTTCCTAAACAGAAATGTTCCTGGCCAATTTGTTTTTGTTATTGTTGTTGTTGTTTTTTGCTTTTTGTTTTAGACGGAGTTTTGCTCTTGTCACCCAGGCTGTAATGCAATGGCAAATCCGAGATTTCACCACTGCACTCCAGCCTGGGTGACAGAATGGGACTCTGTCTCAAGAAAAAAAAAAAAAAACTATATATATATATATATATATATATATATATACACACACACACACACACACACACACACACATACATATACATATATATAGATTGGGAGATTTTGCTCTGTTAAGATTTTAGGATTCTTCATAACCCCCTGGAATAATTCTCTTTTCCAAACCCCAGCCCATGAATCCAAACTATAAGATAGCTTCCAACACTCTCCTTCAGAAGAAGTAGTTTTGCAAAAAGGAAATTTCTAACACTACTTGTAGGCATGGAGAATTCTGGAATGACAGAAATCATACCTGCACAGAGTTTTTAGGTATAAATCAAGATGTAAAGGAACAGGAGTTTTTCATATATGAATGAACCATCTCAAAATAGGATGGGCAATTAGTGGGGTTTATTTCTAAAGTCTGTAAACCGTAAGTAAAATTTTCAGTTCCGCCAACTGGCTGAACTGACAAACTTCTGGCCAAGGGGACCCTAGAAAGACCTGAAAACCTGAATTTCCAGCCGTAACTGGAAGGGAGGTTGGACACACCTCATTATATCCCCTCCCTTTTGGAGCTTAGGCATAAGTGACAGGCATTAAAGTTAAAACAGAGATCCTAAGACTGACAAAAAAGAATCCTTGTGGCAATAAAATGCTAAATTCCAACCTGATTCTAGTATAACATCACATGACAGAAATGACAGAAAGCACATCCCGAAGGAAATAAAATATTTTACCATAAAATATATTTCTTTGACATATTTTGAAATGACAGCAAAGCTGTCTTTTGTGGGGGAAATTTGCATCAGTAGAGAATCTCCATTAATGCGGCCAGGCCTTCCCTTTCCAGACCTTTTTCAGATCTAGAAAAGATTAAGTAAGAGTCTGAAAACTTTCAAGTTCCCAAAAGACACATTTACCATCTATTCTCTGTAAGGACTGCAACTCCTGAGGCTTCATCTACATAACAGAAACCTTGGTCATCACAACACCCCCAATCTTAACTTGAGCATTTCTGCCTACTAACTTCAAGTCTTTAGACAAAGACTTCCAGTCTAAAGATAAAGCTTAACTCTTACAACAAATTCCAAATCAGAAATTATTATTATTATTATTATTTTGAGATGGCGCCACTCTGTCGCCCAGACTGGAGTGCAGTGGCACAATCTTGGCTCACTGTAACCTCCACCTCCTGGATTTAAGCAATTATCCTGCCCCAGCCTCCAGAGTAGCTGGGATTGTGCCACCATGATCGGCTAATTTTTGTATTTTTTTTTTTTTTAGTAGAGACAGGGTTTCACCATGTTGGCCCGGCTGACCTCGAACTCCTGACCTCAGGTGATCTGCCCACCTTGGCTTCTCAAAGTGCTGGTATTACAAATGTAAGCCACCATGCCCAGCCCAGAAAATCTTTGAATCCACCTCAGGATACCTGTAGGCCTCAGGATCTCTTGAGACTGTTCCCCAGGCCATGGTCACTCATATTAGCTTGGAATAAACCTCTTTAAATATTTCACAGTGTTTGTTTTTTCTGATAACAAATCAGTAGCTAAGGTAGGAATTCTTCAGATGGATTTGAAAGCATGTTTTTTATTCAGAATCAATTTGAACTTTTATTTTTATGGACTGCTATATTTTCTTTTTTTGCTATATTTTTGCTATTTATTTGCTACCCTTCTTCTTCTTGTTACTTTTTGAGACAGGGTTTTGCTTTATGGCCCAGGCAGGTGCACAGTGGCTCAATCAGGGCTCACTGCAGCCTTGACCTCCCGGACTCAAGCAATCCTCCTACCTCAGCCTCCCAAGTAGCTGGGACCACAGACACATATCAATATGCCTGGCTAATTTTTTAATTTTGTAGAGACAGGGTCTCGCCATTTTGCCCAGGCTTGTCTTGAACTCCTGGAATCAAGTAATGCTCCTGCCTTGGCCTCCCAAAGTTCGGGGATTACAGGCATGAGCCATTGTGCCCAGACTATTTGCTATTATTTTAATTTTGCTTCATGTTCATCTATTTTCATAGATGTTGGAAGGGAGTGTTGTCTGAGAAACCACATCTCATCTGAATTACTCACCTTTCTATCCTTTTACATTGGTATAACCTCAGGAGCCCTTCCTTGCTTTTGGTAGACCTGCAAGAACAAACCCATTGAGATGGCTACAGAATGAGAAGGGAAGCTTTTTCATGGTGTAAGAAGTAAGAAAAATTGATTAGGAAGAACTCTGTGGGTAAGGAGAAAGAAAACCTACTAGGAGACCATTATTGCAGTGAAGGTAAGAAATAATGAAGAAATTCTGAATTAAGTTGGTAACTATGTGATAGGAAGGCAAGATAGACTTAAGAGTTGTTAAGACAGTGGAATTGACAGAATGCAGGGGATAATTGGATGTGCACAGAAAAGGAAGTAGGAGTTGAGAAAGACTTTTCAATTCTACCAGCCCAGCTAAGGAATATAGAATGGAAGAGGTGGGGAGAAAATAAGTTTAGTGTGGGTTGTATTGACAGGGAGAGATATCTCACATTCAGAGAGGCATGTGGGAGAAAAGGCATGGTCACTGATGAAAGGAATCAGTAGCTCTGGATCTGGTAGTTGAAGTCTTGAAAGTCAGAAGCATCATTTATAAAAAATGTATAGAGAGATTAAAAAAAGAAAGCTGAAGATGAATGGATGGATGGATGGATGGATGGATGGATGGATGGATGGATAGATGGATGGATGGATGCATGGATGGATGCATGGATGGAAGGATAATACCGATTGGATGGGAACACAGATGTGGGGAAATGAGAAAGAACCATCTGAGTCTCTGTGGAATCGGAAGAGGATTATTTCTCAGAAGCTGAGGAAAAAGAGAGTTTTAAGGAAGAACGTAACAACAGTGTCAAAGGTGACAGAGAGACCAGACAACTGAAATTCAAAAAATGCTCAATATGTTCAACAATTTTAGGTAATTGTGACTTAAAAAGTTTCAGGAAAATGATGGAACAAAAATGCAAACAATGGGCTGAAAAATGCCTGGCAAGTGGAATAGCCTACAACTTCCATCTGAGCTAGCTAACTATAGGGGAGGCAGACCTCAATGAAACTTTTATTTTTGGAGTGATAGTAGAGATATATGGATAGGAGGGTTTTGATTAGATGGAAAATTAATTGTGAAAATGGTTTAGTGAGTCCTAAGCAGGTGCACTTGCTGAAAGGAAAAAGAAAGAGAAATATTGAAGACAATGCCCAGGAGAACAGAAGAAGTTAAGAGAGAGAGAGATGTCTATATACCACGTGCCTCAGCCCACAGTGAAAAATCCAGGGAACACTTAGAACAGAGCTTCTCCAACTCTAATGAGCATAAGAATTGCCAAGGACTTTTGTTTAAATGCGTATTCTGAATCACTATGTCTGGAGTTGGAGCTGCAATTTTGCATTCTATCAAACTCTCAGGGGATGCCTATGCTGCTGGTTTCCTGACAACACTATGAGAAGTAAGGACACAGAGAACAGTAGGATGACTCAGCAAAATGGGCTATCAGGTGTAATCAGTGTAAGTGCAAAGTAAGAATATACTTTGGCAAATGACAGAAATCGTGATGGTTTGGCATGGCAAGAATATCAAGGAGGAACAAGAATGCATTCTACAAATAAGTGATATATTCATTAAGCATATATTAAATTCTTATTTAACCCACATATGCCTCTCCTTTACAGAGCATAGAACAAGGCTCTCTGGAAACTTAAGGGAATCATAATATGCCTGAGAAAACATAAACAAAAATTATCTTAATGACAAATAAGTGCTTCGGAAATAAACAAAGGCCAAAATCTGTTAGAGATGGTAGGTAGACAGCTCTCATATTTCCGTGGATTGCATCCTCATGAAGGATTTTCAACTTGTCTTTCATTTTGAAATTGAATAAATATTGGAATGCATTATCATCCACCCTCCCTACATTCATCTATAAAAGGAGACATGACAGATGTAAAGTTCCTATCAATATGTGAACAGCAGAGGGAAAAATGAGGCTGCACCCTGAATTGAAGTGATCCTATCTCTTTAAGCCTCTTTCACACTGGAGAGCTACAGGAAGCCTGAGTTTGAAATCATTTGGTCCAGACAGAAGAGGAGAAGCAAGGACCGAGTGTCATGAAGAGGGAAACATTGCCAGACTGTCAGAGGTTACCTAATATCCTTTGATGGGTTTCCTCCTGTTTCCCTGAATCTGGGATGACTGTCCCCTTGAACTGCTCCGGTATCTTAGCCAATGGACAATGTATTGTTACTCCCCTCCTTATCTATTCGTGGTTTTTGCACACATACCATGAACTCATAAGTGTTGAAGGATCTCGACGTGTAAAAATATTTGTAAGAACAAGTTCAGTGACTAGAAATTTGCTAGCTGGTTTGAAATAAAGAGATACACATAAAACTATATTATGAACTGGGATCACCCAAATTATCTTCTGCAGGACATTATTCTACTAGAAAATATGGACAAAATCATAAGGACAATTGTCAGTTTGATGCTGACAAAATTTTGTAAAATTCCTTATATTAAAACCACTCTTCACTATTAGCAGGAGACTACACATGTTCTAATGGTCTGAGAAATACTGCAGTAAATAAATCTGGTTAATTTTGTTTAAACCAAATGTTTCTGAACATTTTTGCATTATTTTTTAAGCCATGGAAATTTTTATATCACAAAAACTATCAATATCTCAGGGTCTTAGTGCTCCTCAGAGGAATTATGAGGAAATATTTAACAAAGATTGAGCTGTTCGCTACAGTTGGTTTAAGTGCAATTGCAATTAGGGAGAACAGCGATCACTTCCGGCGTCTAAGGGAAGCATTAATAAGGAGTTTGAACTGGACTTGAATGATGTGAGTATTTTGATGCATCAACAAAATAAGATATTCTGGGCTGGGAGGGAAGTCAAGAGGCTTAACAGAATAAATACAGACGTGAAGGAGGAAATGGTTCCGAGTTCAGGTGTGTTTAAGGGACAATGAAAAAAATCAATATGTCTGGAGAGGAGGGTTTTGATTGAGTAAAAATCAATTTGGGAAGGCTGATTATAAAGACCCTTGCATTTTGGATTAGGTTCTATGAAGATTGAAGTATGCATTAATTGCATCCAGAGGGGAACAAAAAGGGAATATGTGTTTAGCATTCTGAACAAACCATTTTCTTACTTTTTTCATTTTATTTTATTGTTTTTCTGTTTTTAAATCTAACACAAGCACATGGTCAAAACTCATAACATGAAAAAGATAAACAAAAGAAAGTTAAAATAACTGATAAACGCATGAACTAGGTATAATGAGTTGACATAGGGAGTATATCCTTTGCCACTTTTTCCGAAGTGTACACATGTTCACACACCCATTTAAAAAAATGTCAGCTTACACCATGGCTGAATATGACAGTCACAGTGGCTGTAGACTAAGCTACTAAGGGGCAAGTAAATAAATATAAATGTGTATAGTAAAGTAGAATGCACAGATGACAAAGATGTAGTCTTTCACACAGACAACATTACAAATTAAATATGTGGAATGTCCCTTGTTTCCACAAAGAAATATTCTTTCTTTTTGGACTACACCTCTTTTATTTGAATCATACAGCTATTCGGGTCCATTTTTAATCTTACCCATCTTGATAGAAACACAGATATTTACAAAATATATTTTCAACTCTAATATTAGGGAAAAAATGATAAATGCCATCTGACTCTAGGTTTCAGTGTATGGTAGGCAAAGACAGAGGTGGGGTTGGGGCTGAACTGGAAAGCCACCTCCCTCTGTGAGTCTAAGCACCATACTGCAGCAGTAGCTGCTAGATGAAATTGGGCCCAGAGTTGGCAGAACTTCATGATTTTCAAGAGAATACAGGAATCCAGAACTTATATAATATTCTCTATTTTATAACAAATAAGAATTAATCATTTTAACACGAAGAGAATCAGTATTCCATAGGTGAAACAAAACACACACAGGACTCTACAGTTTTTCTCTAGTTCTTACAGATGCCCACAAAATAAAACAAAATACAACAGCAACAAACTTTCTCATTCTTAACAGTT
This sequence comes from Homo sapiens, assembly GCF_000001405.40. NCBI lineage: Eukaryota > Metazoa > Chordata > Mammalia > Primates > Hominidae > Homo > Homo sapiens. The sequence continues at coordinate 115,127,131 of NC_000002.12, read as the reverse complement.
AGGGTATATTACTGTGCAACCTCTCTGGTAGAAAATCTTACAGCCCAAGAGTAATGGGCATTTTCACTTACTAGACTTTTCCATCCTTTAGGTGTGACCTGGTACAATATTTACATTTGTGTTAGCATATTATGAATCTTTTATTCTAAACAAAGTTGTTTGGAAAGTCTATAGAATTTCAAAAAAATATGCTATTGAATGTATATTTTGTGGTTTTAGGTAGGTATCTTACCCATTGGAGGAATATCTATTCCAAAATGCCACTTAGGTTATTTTCAAGAACCCCCTACTCAATATTGATGCAGCTCTGTGCTTCTGTAGCAGTGGGAACAAAGCTGTCTGTGTTGAACTGTGGAATCACAGTAATTAGTACAAATGCCTGTAATCAGGGAAAGGTTAGGTTGAGAAAAGAGGAATATAAATGTCTGTGACACTCAAAAAGAAACAAGAGAGAGAGCATCGGAACAGCAAGAACAAAAAGAACAGTTGAACTTCACTGTAAAAAACAACTCCGATTATATATATATTTCATGTAAAACCTGCATTTCAAATGTAAACTTTTCTCTTATTTCCAAATTCTTATCCAGGTGATACTCTTCTTTTATCTATTTATATCATTAATATCACTTTTAAATAAATATCTTTCAACTACTCCGGGTGGACAGAAAGAGAGCATTCATGTTCAGTCAAGACTGTTCAAGAATAGAAAATACAAAATATCTTGAAATGTGGCCAGGTGCAGTGGCTCACGCTTGTAATATTGGCCCTTTGGGAGGCTGAGGCGGGTGGATTGCTTGAGCCTAGGGGTTCAAGACCAGGCTGGGCGATGTGGTGAAATCCTGTCTATACAAAAAAATACAAAAAATTAGCCAGTAGTCCCAGCTACTTGGAAGGCTGAGGCAAGAGGATAGCTTAAGCCCTGGAGGCAGAGGTTGCAGTGAGCCAAGATCACACCTTTGCATTCCAGCCTGGTCAACAGAGTGAGGCCCTGTCTCAAAACAAGACAAAACAAACTTGAGTACAATAAAGTACTATATAATTTTTGTCAGTAGCAATGATGGTGTAGACTAGAACAAAATTATATAAGATAAAGGTATTCAAAATATGGGTTGCTTTCAATAAAAGTATGTATTTGGTCATTTTGGAAATATATACACGATCTCAATTATGAAACAGGTACCTTTTTACTTAGCCTGGTAATATGGCTTGGTAAAAATCTAATTTAAATACATGTTTAAAAAGGTATTATGGGCTGGGCGCGGTGCCTTGCACCTTTAATCCCAGCACTTTGGGAGGCCAAGGAGGGCGAATCAAGAGGTCAAGAGATCAAGACTATCCTGGCTAACGTGGTGAAACCCGGTCTCTATTAGAAATACAGAAAAAAAAAAGAAAATTAGCCCTGTGTGGTGGAGGGCACCTGTAGTCCCAGCTACTCAGGAGGCTGAGGCAGGAGAATGGCGTGAACCCGGGAGGAGGCGCTTGCCGTAAGCCAAGATCATGCCACTGCACTCCAGCCTGGGCGACAGAGCGAGGACTCTGTCTCAAAAAAAAAAAAAAAAAAAAGCCATTATGATCTATTGAACTTAGGTGGCTCACTATTTGAGGAAGCAAAGAAAATACTTTAAAAATGGTATAATTGGCTTCTAATTTTTCTGATTTCAAAGCTTATATATGTTTGGATTTCTTGAAATTGGAAATACCATTTTCCCTCATAGGGAAAAGAACAAAAATAAATAACTTTCTCAAGTTTTACAGCACCAACCAAGATCCAAGTTTCTATCCTTAATTTTGTCTTTTCCTGTTTAGAGTTCATTTGAGAAATCTTTAAAAATATACATCATGTTATATTTTATACTCAGAGATGATTTTTACAAGATGAGATAGAAGAAATACTTTTTTGTGGTCTCAAGCCTTTTTTATCCTTGTATTTTACTGATCTCATTACTTCTGACATTTGAATTCTAGACCTTTGGATTACCCCTTTCAGCAATGCACAACTTTATGAATTGGACAACTAATCACCACTAATGCCCGAGTTAAAGTATGGAATTCCTTTCACAGTTATGGTAGATAGAGAAACAAAAGAACTTATGACTGGAGGAAGGTTGAGAAAGGCTCTTTTTATAGCTGCATGGAGTCTGGTTTTATTTGTAAAAGGAGTGGTTAGGATGAATTATCTCTAAGGTGTCCCTGGCTGTCCTCTTGCTAAGTAGATCCAGCATTAATCCCTAGAAAGTCAAAGAACAGAATCAGAGTAACTCCACAGTTATTTTTTTAGTTCATTTATTTATAATGGGTTTATTCTATAACTGTAACTATTTGTTAAACGTTAACTAGATGTCAGGTACTCTTTTAGACACTAGTGATACCTTGGTTAACAAACAGACATTTCCCATTTCATTACAAACTTAATGTAATAAAATTTACATGATAGAAACAAAGACATATAATTACATAAGTAACTAATTGGCTATAATTCTAGGTATTAGGAAATTGCATAAACATGGGATTTGATCTTGTCTTGAGTGGTCACATAATAATGTCACATAGTAAATGGCCCTGAGAAAGTATTCTTCAAGTTGGTTTCTGAAGAAACATCAGGAGTGAAGGGAAGATAACTGGGATTCTAGTCCAAGGAAGGTATAAGAGAGCTGCCATGCAGGGGCTTTATTAGGCCAAATGAACCTTGTGTGCCTAAGAAATGTAAATTAAGCCACTGCTGCTCAAGATCAGATAATGAGGGAGACAGTGAATAGCAAAGATATGGCTGGAGAGGTGTGCAGAGGTGAATCAAGAATGCTCACGTGGAGCTATGTCAATAATTTTGGAATTTATTCCAAAAATAATAGGAAGTCATTGAATGGTCTTAAGCTTGAAAAGGGCATAGTCAGGCTGAGCATGATGGCTTATGCCTGCAATCCAGCACTTTGGGAGATGGAGGCAGGAGGATCGCTTGAGTCTAGGAGTTTGTGAGCAGCCTGGGCAAGATGGCAAGAGCCCCACTTTTACATAAGAATAAGAAAATTAGCCAGGTGTGGTGGTATGCTTGTAGTCCCAGCTACTCAGGAGGCTGCAGTTGGAAGATTGAGCCTGGGAGGTTGAGGATTCAATGAGCCATGATTAGGCTACTGCACTCCAGCCTGAGTGACAGAGTGAGACTTTGTCTAAAAAAAAAAAAAAGGCATAATCAGACAGGCATTTTATATATAACTGATATAACTGGGCCTGTTGGGTGCGGTAATAAAATAATGGCTAATATTTGCTGACTATCTTCCTGTTCAGCAGGCTTCTTTTGGGGCAAACGTCTATTAACACATTAATATTTAAAACAACCCAGTGAGGTTGTTGGAGTAGATAGTTAGGGAGACATGAGCACAGCAGGAGAGGGCTGCCCCAGGAATGTTAGGCAACCATCAGGTGATGGTCAGGTGATTGTTAAACTGTCTCTCTAAAATAATAATTGGTCTCAGCTGACACCAGGAAAAGACGGTCTCCTAGCAGATAGAAAAGAGCTGAATCTGTCATCAGCCGCTTCCTGATAAGCTCTCAGGATTTGGATGACCGGGCTCAAATATGTGCACCAAGAGGAAAAACGGTGGAGTTTAACCAGTAAATGATCTTCCTTTAGGAACAGTTGATTGATAAGGGAAAAATGCCTCAAATGAGCATTTGCACTACTTCAGTAACTGCACTGCAAATGTGACCCCTCCCAAGTGCTAGCAGGCCACTGAGCATGTGAACAGGCCACCCCAAGGGAAGAATAAATGGAGAAGAAACACAAATCCCAGAACCATGCCAGTATTTGAAACCTCAAATCAAGGGACAGACAGGGAACTAGGATCTCTCAAGTCACCTACTTGGCCCTCTTCCAAGTGTACTTGACTTCCTTTCATTCCTGCTATAAAACTTTTTAATAAACTTTTGGTCCCGCTACAACTTGTCTTGGTCTCTCCCTCTGCCTTCAACCTACTTCTGCCCCTTGGCTAAATTCTTTCCTCCAAGGAGGCAAGGATTGATTTGCTGCAGATCCATATGGATTTGCTGCTGGTAATATACATTGGTGCTGTGACTCAGGCACATTCCCTAGTGGTAAGACACCTCTATGCCTTGCTTTCTTTGGCTGAGGGCGTACAACCCCTGTACATGGATTCTTTCTCCCCTTTCACTCTCCTGCTTACTAACCAATGCCCAGAATGATTCCTCTTGGTCACAGTGGCTTTGTTCTCAGCTGATCTCACAGCTCCCCCTGATGAGTGACTCATGGGGTTGGGAAGGACCTTGGAGTCTGCACAGAGTAGACCTGAGGCACTAATGGCCCTCTTGGACAGGAGGCTCCTGAGAGTGGTAGGGCTAAAGCCTAAGGCCGTGTAATGTTCAAGGTTTCCTCTGCTTGTTTCCTGAAAACCTGCACTGCCTATTCTCCTGTTTTGTCTGTCTGTATTCTGAAATGGTCTTGTGCTCCTTCAGGACCACATTCCCAGTTTGTTATTTATATGTCCACAGCTTTTGCTGCATTGTGTGGCAACAAAGAAATGGGCTTTCTCATAGATGTGTCTCGGCTCATTGCCAGGACACACACTAATTGGACCTCTGGCTCTGCCAGCTCTTGTAACTTCTAGAATGCTCTGAACAAGAGTCACTGTAAGGTCTTGGCAACAAAGATATAGGCTGGCCCAAGGCCACAGGCATAAGAGACCAAAGTACCTGTAGGACAGAGATGAAGGCTGGTCCCAGAAATTGGATGGGACCAAGGTTAGGGGTACCCAGCAAGCACTAGTTCATTCCAGAGCCCCTTGGATGAATGGGGGAAACCCTGTTCACTCTGATCTGCCACAGGCAAAGGATTCAGGGAAAAACAGGGGTGGGAGGGTGCCCTCCTCTTCTCTTCTCTCATGTGTTGTATCTTCACAAATGGTTAATTGTACCTTCATAAAACAAGATGGGACCAAGGTTATGGGTACCCAGTAAGCACTGGTTCATTCTGGAACCCCTAGGATGAATGGGGAACACTCTGTTCACTCCAGTCTGCCATAAGTGCAGGAAAAAGATGTTAGGAAAACTAGAAAGGATGTCTTCATTTTCTTCTCTCCTTTGTTCTTTCTGCACATATAGTTAATTGCGTCTGCACACCACAGGACATGACCCTTCGATGCATACCCAAACCTGGGAAAATTTTGATCCCCCCAAATCTTAAAGCAAAAATCTAGTTTTCCTTTGTAATACTGTTCAGCCTAAAAATGATCTGGTAGAAAATTACAAAAGTCAGCCTCAGGACCCAGTGCCCCTATACAAGAAATACTCAAATTAGCCTCCTCAGTCTTTCAAAACCTAGAGCAGAATAAGGAGGACAGGGCTAAGGAGAAGGAGAAATGCACAAACAGGAGGGAGTCTTAACTACTGGCTGCTCTGCAAGCCCACCAGCCCCCTCCAGGTTGCTGTAAGGACACTCCTCTAGATAACTACCATTGGTGCAGAAGACCAGACCACTGGAAAAAGAATTGCCCAAATGGGCCAAATGGGAGAAACCCCCACATAGCCTGCCCCCTCTGCCACAAGCTCAGCCACTGGAAAAAGGATGTTCCAAGAGCCAAAAATGCCCCTGGGCCAGGCTCCAATCCAATAAAGGCCTTAAACTGAAGGGGTTCCAGCTCCAGCTAGCTCCCAGATCAGACATTGCTGGCCATCAACAGGACAAAGCCAAGGGCAACTCTGGAGGCAGGAAGTAGTTATAAATTTCTCTTTTGGGTTCGAGAGCTGCCTAGTCTGTGCTAATCTCCTTCTCTAAGCAACTCTCCTCCAAATCCTGTTGGGTAATGGGGGAAAATGGTATCACTTCCCTCGAAAAGAAAAGATTCACACACCTTTATATTACTTAGGGGCCAATTACTATTCTTACATAAGTACCAGGTAATGTCTAAAAGCCCCACACCCCTTTGGGATGGGTGCCTGCTTAATATCTACCCAAACTCTGAATTAATCTTTCCCTCTAGTAGCCCTATTTCTCCTGGGAAAGTTACCTAAATCTTTAACTTCAACCTGGATAGTCCTACCTCAAGGGTTTAGAAATAGTCCATGTTTACTCAGAGAAGCCCTAGTAAGAAATCTAACTGAGCAATCCCTTGAGGGAGAATAACTTCTAAAGTATTCAGATAATCTCCTTATCTTCTCCCTCTTCGTAGTACTTGCACAGCAACATAACTTCTTAACAGAAGGAAAATTACTTTAGTCTAATTCAAAGGTTATAAAGGTAAAGAGATTTTTTGGTAAGAAAGGTTATAAAGAAAATAGATTTTATATGAGAAGTGATCTTGCATGGTACATTCTTGTCCTAAAGTAAAATGACTAGTTGTTTACAAAGAGGGATGTTTAGGACAAGTCAAATCATCCAAGTATGTTGTAGGTGACCTATGTAAGTCATAAACAAATTGTGAAAGGGAATTTATTTAAAAAAATGTAAAATTGTAAAGGTTATTAGGTCTACTAAATGCTTTAGTAGTATAAACTGCTACTGTGACTCTTAGTAACTGTACTGCTTGCCTGCTTTAAATCCATTAAATTCTAGGCAAGGCATGGGAACATACAGAGTTAGGCATGCCCCCTAGCTATGCTAGAAAGGGTCAGACTTTATTGTGTTTTGACATCTCTACCCTCTCCACAAATATAGAAGGCTCCTTGTCTTTAAGTCCAAGGAACCTTCTATATTTGTGTCCAATCAGTTCCCCAATGTCTTCTGACTAACTAGTCTGGAACTTGTACCATAGCCTATGTATCCCTGACATCTTCAAATCCCCAGGAGTCTCTCTCTTCCAGCACCAATCCAGAGGCATTCCATCCTTCCCAGGATGAGGAGGTCTATCCAATTAACCCCCCTTCTCATAGGACTTGGCATTATAGCTGGTATGGGTACTGGAATTGCTGGAATCACAAAAGCCTCCTTGGCCTGTAGCCAACTCTCAAAGGAAATACCCAGCAACACTGATGACATGGATAAAACTTTAACAACTATGCAACAACAAATTGACTCTTTAGCAGCCATAGTCCTCCAAAATTGTCAAGACCTAGATATGTTACTGGCAGCACAGGGAGAAATCTGTTTAGACTCAGATGAAAAATGTTGCTTTGGGGTAAATCAATTGGGAAAAGTACAAGACCACATCAGACAACTTTTAAATTGAACTTCCAGTTTATGAGAACAAGACACTCAGAACTGGCTAAATTGGGAAGAAACCTGGAAATGGTTCTCCTGGGATTTTCCCTTTTTAGGCCCACTTGTTAGTCTTTTTGGTACAGGTACATGTCTTCTAAGCACAATAACCCAATTTGTCTCCTCTTGCCTTCAGGCCATCAAATTCCAAATAATCCTCAATGAGGGATACTGTCCTCTCAATATTCAAGAGGCATCCTTTTAGAAGACCCTAGAATGCCCATCAGAGAAACACAACAGAGTGGAATTCCTGCCCTTCTCCCTTGGACCTAGCTGGATACCACTTTCACCAACCCATGGAGCCACTTTTCCCTGACAGCTAGCAAGAGACCAAGACTCACAGAACATACTACCACAAAAGACTGACTTTCATCCATTATACCAAATAATTGAGTCTTGTACTCTTGAGGGCAGAAATGCTAGAGTACCTAGGTAGGCATACTCGAGCAGGACAGGAGAGGGCCCCCCATCTGGAATGTCAGGTGACCATCAGGTGATGATCAAGTGGTTGTTAATCTGTCTTGCTAAAACAATAATTGGCCACAGCCAACACCAGTCTCCCAATAGACAGAAAACACCTGAAGCTGGTGATTAGCAGCTTCCTGATAAGATCTCAGGACTTGAGCAAGTGGGTTCAGGCATGCACAGTAAAAGACAAAATGATGCAGTTTAACTGGTATATGACCTTTCTCTGGAACACTCTACTGGTAAGGGAAAAATGCTTCAAATGAGCACCTGCACAACTTCAGTAAACACACTGACCATGCAGCCCCTCCTAAGTACTACCAGGCCCCTGTGCATGTGGACAGCCTGCTCCAAGGGAAGAATCAAGGGAGAAGAAATGCAAACCCTAGATGAATGCCAATGTATGAAACCTCAAGTCAAGGGCCAGATGGGGAACTTGGATTTCTCAAGTTGCCTGCTTGACCCTCTTCCTAGTGTACTTGACTTGCTTTCATTCCTGCTGTAAAACTTTTTAATAAACTTTCACTCCTGCTCTTAAACTTGCTTTAGGCTGGACGCGGTGGCTCACACCTGTAACTCCAGCATTTTGAGAGGCCGAGGTGGGTGGATCACTTAAGGTCAGGAGTTTGTGACCAGCCTGGCCAACATGGTGAAACCCCATCTCTACTAAACACACACACACACACACACACACACACACACACACACACACACAATTAGCTGTGTGTGGTGGCATGTGCTTGTAGCCCCAGCTACTTGGGAGACTGAGGCAGGAGAATTGCTTGAACCCAGGAGACAGAGATTGTAGTGAGCTGAGAGATTGCACTACTGCACTCCAGCCTGAGTGACAGAGTGAGACCCCGTCTCCAAAACAAGAAACAAAAAACAAAACAAAAAAACAAACTTGCCTTTATCTCTCCCTTTGCCTTCAACCTACTTCTGGCCCTCAGCCAAATTTTTTCCTCCAGTTAGGCAAGTATTGAGTGCTGCAGACCCATTTGCTGCTGGTAACAAGGTAAATATTATTATCTTCATCTTACAAAAAGCTTTAAAAATTGCCTAATATTGCTTAGCTAACCAGTGAGCAGTCTGACTTGAAAGCTGGCACTGTTAACTTCCACACTTATTTGGTGGTCGATAGTGATAGAAATTACTTTGGAGTAAATAAATGGTCTAGGTAAAAGATAATATTGGTTCAGACTACAGTGATAGTAACAGATTGGAAAGAAATGGAAAGACTCAAGAAATATTTGGGAGTAGACTCAGCAGAAATTGGTGATTGATTGGCTATAGTAGGTAAGGGAGAGAAAGGGATCAACAGTAACATCTAGGTTTGGGTCTTGAGTAAACAGGAGAATAGCTTTGCCATTTATCTAGATTGGAACCCATCTCAGAGAAGGGATAGGTTTTGGTGAAAAAGATTTTTCTTAAATCAAAAGTTATTGCCAGGCAAATATCATCCCCGAAAAGCTACAGTGAGTGGTTATTGCATTTGAAAACCTAGTTTTACTTAATATCCTGATATTTTCTCCCTCTTAGATGTTCATCCATGCTCTCCACAATATGATTACTCTGAAGGTGTCTGAGGCAATCAATACACATAGAAGAGGACCAGAAGGAAGAGAGGGCATCCAAGTATTTCCTCCCCTCCCCGACCCTTAAGGTTCCTTGTCTAGTTGTATCTGTTTCTTTTTATAGCTTCGTAATTATTTTCAAGAAGATAAGGCTGGTTCTCATCATCTTCTTTTTGTCTTATGTTCAGCTTACAAAGCGTTTTCAGAAATCTATGTACAAGTCAGTACTCCAAAAGTGTGATGAAATATGAGAAATACAGACACTTTGATTTTTCTTTTTAGAGACAGGCTCTCACACTGTCACCCAGGCGGGAGTGCAGTGGTGCTGTCTGAGCTCATTGCAGCCTTGAAATCCTGGACTCAAGTGCTCCTACCAACTCATCCTCTCGAGTGGCTGGGGTTATAGGTGAACACCATCACACTCAACTAAATAGATACATTTTGAAGTATAAATACTAGCAGTTATTTTTATACAGTTTATGTTAAAATACTGAGCTCATTGGTGTAGAAACACACCACAGGAAAAGCTGGCTGGTAAAATTGCTGTTTTGGCTTTCCACCATCATGGTAGCAGGCAGAACATTGCAGTGAATTTTCAATCTCCTTAATTCCCTTTTCACTTTTTAATGATAAAACCACATATCATTTAACTTGCTGTACCTTGTAAATAAAATAGGCTAAATAATCTACTCTTTGTCCTGGTCAAACATTAAGCAAGCAATCACCAGATACTAATTGAGTGCTTACCATGGCAAGGCAATACAACAGGAAGAGTGTAGAAACAGGAAGTGTACGAGTTTTTCTCACAGAACTTTGTCATCTAGCTCATGGGATAAGATATGAACATGTTTAAGAAACTATGAGTGATTATGAGGCAGAATAAATAAAAAGATACAGCAAATGGAAAAGATTAATTGAATCATATATATGTTCTATTAGTTCCAAGAAAAGATAAATTCTTTGTGCACAAGAAATCTGATAAAAATTTATGGAAGATGAAGGTTTTGAGCTCAATGTTACATTATGTATTGATTTTAACTAGAAAGAGAGAAAATACAAGAGGAAAAGATTGTATGACATTCCAATTGTGAGCCTCTCAAGAGGAAAGCATAATGTTATAGAAAATATACCAATAAGATCAATAGTTAGGAAATGCGTGCTTTACCTAAAGTTTACAACAATTATATATGTGTAAAGAAGTACCTTTTCTGAGTCTCAGTTTTCTTATCTTTAAAATAAGTGGCTTGGACAAGGTTTTCTCTATGGAATCTTTGAAACTTAACATTTTTATTATAAAGAAAGAATAAGTCCTTCCTACTTGCCAGCAAGACAGGAAACTAACAAAAGGTAGTCTTGGAAATATGCACATCACAGTTTGAATCTGATAAATTAAGATTAGGATCATGGCAGACCTATTTATTAACTAGGAAGCTTGGGAAAAATACATAACCTTGATGACTCTCAATTTTCTCATCTATAAATAAAGATGATAGATGATAAATAGAGGTTATAGATGAAAATATAGATATAAAGATAGATAAATAATTAGCGTTTTCAATAGACTTCTGAAAATGCTATGTAATGGCACTGTGTATAGTAACTTGTTATGTAGAAGGCACTGAAAAAAACTTGGTTTCATCCAATAAATCCATTAACGAAATAGCTCTGGGTTGCCATCAAGAGATCTGTGTTCAAATCTCTGCTGTCCCATAGACTGTGTAAGTGTCTTTGGGAAAAAAAATGAGATTTGAACTTAATCATTGTGTCTATTTAAGTACCCCTCAAATATTTTAGAGGAAATCAAAAGGTTAAAGTATATGTGGGACAATATGAATTGTGTAGTATGCAGCAGTTGAGAATATTAAATGGCTAGAGAATGCTTCAGTTACCCCAAATTTCACATTGTTTTTGTCTTTTAACTAGGCTAATCTATCCCTCACACCACTTTCCTTCTGCTTTTTTTGGATAATATACAACCTCTTTTCAAAGTACTTTGCGATCCCTGAATACTGTGTAGGTTGTGCACCATTTTCACAACACTGTGCTAATTAACATCACCATGAATAATTATCTGCAGCTTCACAATTATCTTGAGCATTTTCTTTTTATATTACTAATTTTATGGATTACGAGAAGAACACCATAAAACACACCACCAGTTTTTATGCCAGGAATATTTCATCTAACTTAAAAATGCCATGCGGTACGTTTCAGAGATAAATGCCACTTATAAACAGGGTATTGTAATGTGCACTGAAGTTGCATGTACTAAAGATTGGAGTAGCTATTGGTAGTCAATGAATAATGGATGGGAATGATTAATGACTTTGTGAGATAAGGGATAATTAGATTTGGCATGTGCATCCACTATTTAAGCAAATTGGTGTGTGGAATGCATGGTTGAAAGAGATAGAGACAAGTGACATTAAGCTTTGATGATTCAAACGGGTCTCCTGAGAATAGATGATCCAAATTCTCTTCTAATTTTTCCCCAACAACTCAACACAACCATAAAGGTAACCCTGGATCTTATTGTTATGCTAGCAATGGTTGTCACAGCAGCAGAGTAACACACACAGAAGCCCAGGCAAGCCTATTTACACCTTTCTGCCTTGGGGTCATTTACCCATTTCCCAGAGCTCAGTCATTTACTCAAATAATGCTCCACTGTGTATGGACACAGTTAGGTTGGAGGACAAGAGCTCTTGGCAAAATGATGAAGAAACAACCGTTTTCTATAACACCTCCTGCAAACCTCCCCGTAGGTCTCCGATGTGCACACACATATCGGATATGTGCACACACATATCGGTCATACACATAGACAAGCCTACCTGTGCCGTCTTAGGCAATGAACCAGCATAGTGCCCTATGACTGCTCACCTGTTCACTTTGTGAACAGGTACAGGTACCTGTTCATTTTGCAGGCAGTGTAACGCTTTGGATTTTCTTTATTCTTATCAAACTATTTATGTCCCACTTCCCTTGTTGGCAGTTTTCTAGTTAAACCAGGGAATTAATTCCAACGTGTTAATGCTATACTTCTCAATCTCGAAGTAGAAACACATTGGTAAGTTACAATCAGAATAGAGGCAGGCGAAAAGTAATTTGTTACTAATTCTAGTATTTCTTACTAGTGTGACATAAAATGATGTGAAAGAAATTTTATATTTTGAATTGGACATTTTTCAATGTTATCAGTACCAAAAAATACTCACTTGCGTTAGAATGTGTGTTTACTTTCTCCTAGAGAGACAAAGGTAAGTGGAGTTAGAACTTGAATGCAGGAGCCTGAGCAGAATGAGGAGCGGTAAAAGTGGGGTGTTTGGTGGCACATGTAGAGAATCTAGATCGTGAATATAACTCCTTGAGAATAAATATTGGTGGGTGCTAATTGATAAATGAGAATTTTTTCTTCATTAATATTTACTGTTTTAAATGGATTCATGCAGACATAGTAGAATGCTTGAATGGGCATGACTAGGAATTAGGAATTAGGAGTGAGACTTTTATTAAATCAAATGCATGCTCATATACTTTCTCTTTTTCTATGTCTTTTCAAAGTCAGAATAAATATGTAAAGATAAATCTCCAAATTTAATGTTTTGTTTGTGAAGAAACAATTGCAGTTTGAGGCATACACATGGACTGGGGGTATTCTGGAGGTCCAAAGAACAAAGAGAAGGCTAGAGGTTTTATAAAAAAGGAGATATGTTATATACTGTTCTTTGAGAAAGTTCGCTGACACTAGTAAGTGTTTGGGGAGCTGGCAAGTTCGTATTGGTGAGCAATGGTGGTGGGCAGAATTAGTCCTAGCATTGCAGCAAGTCATCTCAGAAGCTGTAGATAAAACTGGTTTCGGGTTACAACAAGCAATTTTAGTAGTCAGACTTGCAGAGAATTACATTCTTGGAGGAATGTTTTATAAGCTGAGTGCTTTTCCCCCAGCTTCTAGACTCTGTTTCAGTTTGGATATGACAAGAATGACTCAATGTGTATGATCAATTATAACAGTTTTCAATAGGGCAATACACAAAAAGAATAACAGCTAAATAAGAACCAAAACATAATATTAAGGGTTGCACAAGTTCTTGATATCTTAATACACCGCTCTTGTAAACTCCAGTTTTGAGCAGCCTATGTAGAACGTTATATGTTGCCCCAAAATATGTATCTCAAGGGTTTATTATTCTTGGACTTTTCACATAGATGAAGGAAGTGGAGAGGAGATGAAGCATAATATGGCGAATACTGGAAACCTAGTCCTCTTCCACCTTTATGTAAGTACCAAGGAGACAGAGAAAATGGACATGTATGATTTAATGCATACTCAATCTGCACGCTAGTGAGTACGAATTCACTATTGTTTGACTTCACACTAATCAGATTAGAAGTGTTTTCCTTGGGCCAAGGGGTGGGACTGGGGAGGAGGATTCTTATGGGCAAAAAAGAGCAAAAAACGTGTCTAAGATATACTTCATGAAAATATTTAAAATAATGAGAATTTAAGGCTAACAGAAGACACATTTGGGGGCAAAAGAACCATTTGGAACATTTAGACTTTAAAAAGCACATATAGACACATTTAAATATACCCACATTATGTATATATATATATAGCATATATACAACATATGAAACATAATATATGGTATATATAACAAGTAAAACATACAAAACAAACACCAAAATACAGCATATATTGTATGTGTTATATATTTTATATATGTTGATATATAATATTACATGTTATGATTATATAAAATTTAGTCCAGACTGACACAACACACACAAATATACCACACACACACACGTAACTTAGTCACTTTGGGAACCAGACCTATGTATCTGCAGAGTAAACCTATGCAAACAACTTATATCAATTAAACTAGTTGTGTTTTTATTCATGAAATAATGACTCATAGACCACCAAACATATGAACCAAATGTGAACGAAAATACCAGAATGGGGAAGCATATGGCTGACTAAAGCAGAGGTAGAAATTATCTACAGCACAGACTTAAGAGAAAAGCAAGCACTTGTATTCATAAAAGAAGAGAATGCTGCCAAAATAAAAGAGAATTATTAACTATAGTCGCCAAATTGTACAGTAGATCTCTTGAACATATTTCCCCTAACTGAAATTTTGTATCCTTTGGCCAACACCTCCCCGCTACCTCAGCCTCTGGTAACCACCATTTTACTCTTTACTTTCATGAATTCAACTTTTTTCTTGATTTCACATATAAGTGAGATCATGCAGTATGTATTAATAACAATGTATTATATTTTTGAAAACTGCTGAGAGGATGGATTTTAGATATTCTTATCAGAAAAAATGGTAAGTGTGAGAGGTAACACATATGTTAATTAGCAGGAGTTAGCCATTCAACAATGTATACATACAGAATTTCAAAGCAACTTGTTGTACATGATAAATATATACAAATTTTGTCAATTAAAATAACAATAAATGTTTATAAAGAAACCATATAAAAAGAAGTAAAAGAAAAATAATGTAAAATAAAAATTTTTAATGTTACTTTATAGAACGGAAAGGAAAATGAATATACCTAAGGATCTAGCTGATGATCTGGATGATAAAACTTGAGAAAATGTCCCAGGAAACAAAAAGAAGAAAAGACAAAGGGAAGAATAATAAAGGAAAAGATTATTTTAATGGAAAAAATATACAATATTCTGGATTTTATCTAACAAGAGTTCCAGGTGAAAAGAACTGTGATAGTGAATGAAAGAAACAAGGAAATAAATTAGAAAAAGATTATCTTCAGAGAAGGGAAGGCACATCTTCTTATTAAAAACATACAAAGGCTGATTAGAATTTTAAAAAGCTCCAAATCCTGTGAAGTTTCAGAACTCCCAGGATAGGGAAACTTTCCTCAATCTTCCATAGAGAGAAAAAGTAAAACATGTACACCACACAGCAGGAATCTGATTGGCCGCTTGACTTCCCATCAGACACTGAGTACTAAAAAGACAATGAAGAAACACTTTGAGGAAAATTATTTCTACTTTTCATTAACTTACCAGTGAAGGATAATGAAAAAACTAAACCCAGTTTTCCAAATGTTCAAGGATCTCGTGAGAAATCTACCTCTTGAGGATTGCTCTGGATGGATCCTATTACATGTGGCCTGAATTTTTCCCTGCTCTGTCACATATTTCAGGCCTGAAGCTTGCCTTCCCCCAGCTGCTGGGAGTATTGGTGGCTGAAAGTTTGCAGCTGAGTTCCTCTCCACCCACCATCCCAATATTGTCCTGGTTGACGAGAGTCACCTTGCCCA
Source organism: Homo sapiens (assembly GCF_000001405.40). Taxonomy (NCBI): domain Eukaryota; kingdom Metazoa; phylum Chordata; class Mammalia; order Primates; family Hominidae; genus Homo; species Homo sapiens. The sequence goes on along the minus strand of NC_000002.12, from coordinate 115,111,582 downwards.
AGATCACACCGCCTCCTGGGTGGAACCTACACCCCATGCCTACTCCCTTGTGGCAGCTGGAACAATGACAAAGGGGCATCTCCACCCAAGAGATTCCCTGTGAAATCAGTTGAGGCCTTTGTTATGAGTGTTCCACAGGCCAGCTTTTTCTTTTACTCAATCTTGCTCCCCTGTTTAATCTCACTTTGTCTCCCCTTATCCCCCACCAAGTTGATCCTTAGGAACAAAATCCAATCAATGTCCTATCAATTTCCTGAACACAAATCTTTGTTTCAGAGTCTGCTTACTGGGAAACCAATGAGCATTAAAAAGCTATACAACGTAATTTAAAAAAAAAAAAAAGCAAAAACACCTTCAAGAAAGAAAGTGAGAGGATGATTATGAACATGAGTTAGTGGTCACCGAAGATGTGTGGAGAAAACATAAGCACATAAGAAAGGAAAAGCTACTACTTGTGTATGCTTGGGACATTATCTTTTGAGCATTAGAACTTTAGTGCCATAGGATTGCGTTTCCTTCTCCACAGTTTCAATTTCAGTATTTGGTTTGCATATTCACATAATTTTGAAATCATAAATGTCGTTTTTATTGTGCTTATATTTTTAAAATCAACCTATAGTAAAGCTAGAGCACAATTTTAGCTACATATTAAATGTGAAATTTGTAAACTTTACAAATTTAAAATACCAATATAAACAAGCTCCAGGAAAGGAAAGAGAACATATGGTTGGGTAAGTCACTATGTCATTAAACTTTTGAAAAGTAAAATAAAATGATACTATCTAAAGCTAGTAAATCAGGGGAAAAAAATCAAAATATTTATTTAAACTGTATAAAGAAAACTACCTGAAGAAACAAAACTGAGAAAATATGAAAAGAAAGACTATTCAGAGATGAAATGTGTATTGGTATGTGAGAAATTTTATAGTCTTAATCTGAGACTCATCTATATATATTTTAATGCTATAGATAGTTCTCTAATTTAAAATATAACTTAAAAAATAAATAGCACACATCAAAAAACTATTTAAATACATTATATTTAAATAATGTAACTTATAGTAAAATAACTTAAATCCTTTAATTTAGATAATGTCCATACTTCTCAAAGTGCTTTCATACACTGCTAAAGCACAAGTCATTTATAGATCACTTCTCCTGGGAAAATTGCTCCTTTTCCTAGTAATTCATTTATTTTCATCTCCAAGACAGGCAAGGGAAAATGTCTTTTTGTCCTTTTGACAGATAAGAAAACTAAAACACGGAGACTAAGTTGGTTTGCCTAAGATCATAAAACTGATCCTGGTGGTACAAAAGCTCTGATTTTTTCTTACTTCCAAACCCAGAATTTTTAGACTTTCCTCGTCATCACTATGAAATGGTTGATCACCAAAAAGTTAGTCTGGAGAAACTGAAGTGAGAAGTCGATGTAAAGGAGGGTGGGAAATCGAGAGGTAATTATTATTTTCTTCCTGACTTTTTTGCCAGGCGCTGTGGTAGGTGTTTACACAGAGTTTACTTCACTAATCCTCACAAGTTCTTTGATATATTTTATTTTGCCCAACTACCATATTAGAAAACTGAGGCTCATACTTGCTAAGTTACTTATGGGAATCCATGTAGCTTGAAGATGGCAGAGAATTATCAAATTCTCAAACTTGTGTTTTTGTCCCTACAGCAAAGTCTCTCAAGCTCAGCATTGTTGAAAGTTTAGGGTGAATAATTCTTTCTTGCGGGGGGCTCTGTTAATTGTAGGATGTTTAGTGTAAAGTCCGGCCTCTATCCAATTGATACCAGTCACATTTCCACATTCATTTGTGACAACCAAATATGCTGCCAGGTGTCCCCAAGGATTCAGCGTGAAGGAATCACCTCCAATTGAGAGCCACTGTATTCCAGGAATGGATAATATTTCCTTGAGCTGTGTTAAAAAATATCTCCTTAATAGAACTTACAATTCTTTAAACTGAAATTCTCTCTAGCTTTTTCTTTGTACGTCACCATCAGATATTTATTGACAACGTTGAATTTTTTTTTCTTTTTTTTTTGAGACGGAGTCTCGCTCTGTTGCCAGGCTGGAGTGCAGTAGAGCAATCTCAGCTCACTGCAACCTCCGCCTCCTTGTTTCAAGCGATTCTCCTGCCTCAGCCTCCAGAGTAGCTGGGACTACAGGCGCCCGCCACCACGCCCAGCTAATTTTTTGTATTTTAGTAGAGATGGGGTTTCACCATGTTGGCCAGGATGGTCTCGATCTCCTGACGTCGTGATCTGCCCACCTCGGCCTCCCAAACTGCTGGGATTACACGCGTGAGCCACCATGCCTGGCCGCCAATGTTGAGTTTTAACTGAACCCTGAGATTCTAGAAAGCATTAGGGTTAAGAAATCCCCAAACCTCTTTGTTTTCCAGAAAAGTATTACTACAAGGGGCAATCCTTCCCCAGATGACTTGAGTAAGATTATGAATATTCTCCTTGTTTACTTCTGACAAGGCCAGACACACACACGCCAAATCCCTATTATTTACTTTATAAATGATCAGTTTATGTTAACATCAAACATCTTTAATGACATAAATTCAGGATTTTTCTACATAGCTATGGCTGCTCAAATGGATGAGGAGGTGCCACATCTGATACAGCAGGGGCCACATCTGATACAGCAGGGGCATTGTCATAGTTCCACCATACCTCCATTCAACCAGTCTCCTATATTTCTCATCCCTGTTTCTCAACCATGAACCCAACTTCTCTTTCACTGATCATGCCGCAATAACATTGTCAGTGAGATTTTTGGACCAACATTAGTTACAATCTCAAGGTCATTCAGGACCTGCAAGCAGGTAAATGATTAAAGCTAACAGGAATGAAATAATAGGTAATGGTAGAAAAAGTGGCTATGTTGGATGAAGCTAAAATTCAATTTAAATTTTTTTTTCAGACTTTGGTTATAGAAAATCTGTAATTCCTGCACTAGATCCCCACACAGGTTTTAAATTGGCTTACTGGTAGGCCAAATGTCTCCAAGAGATTTGTTTTGTATGATTTGTACATTGTTTAATACAGTAATTCAAATTGCTTACCTGCATTTAACTGAGACTGAGTTGACATAAAGAATTGGATTTCTGACTTCTTCTATGTTGGAAAGATAGATTTTACATTCAGCAAGGAAATAATTTGCTTGAGCTTTGTAGATAATGTGCTCTCTTTTTGCGTGGGGCGTAGGCTTTCAAATTCACCCCAATATATTGGTTTATATATGGCTGTTCAATTCTTGTATATTACCTACCAAACCTCTGCTGGCATCTGAGTTTGCAAACTTTGGTCTATCTGTGCAGTGATTTTTTAAATTCTACTCCAGATTTACAAATCCACAATCTCCTTTCCCTGCATATTTCATCTATGTAAGTTGAGATACATACATATTAGGAATAGGTAGATTCTTTTCTAGGGGTAAATATCTATGGAGGGTCCATATATCACCCAGAAAAGTAAGCTGGTGAAAGTGAAAACCAGTACCATGAAAAGGGTGAGTAAATCACTGGTATTCTGGGTGATCAAATTAACAGCAATAATTCTGAAAAGATTAATTTTATGTGAAGTAATCTCAAAAACTTATACTGATCAAATATGTATAAATTCATGAATTTGGAAAAAAATAAAGGTTATTTGATGTCTTTTCCCTTCAAACAAAGATGAGATTATATTAATATATTCTTTTATAAAAGATAATGTCTTGTTTTAAATTTTGCACATTCAGGTTTTCTTAAAAAGACTGACTAAAAATGTTCTATAAGTCTTTCGAAATTGTAATAGTAATATACTAACGGAACAAATCACAAGTACTATAAAATTGCCTTAGTCATTATCTTTCTCAAAATTAGCATTTTAAAGTACATTTTGCATTTATAATAAGATGGTAATGCATAAGATACTCGTGATGTAAATTGAAAAAGATTTTGTTATACCTATACCTATCTATCTATCTTCTATTTATCTACCTACCTACCTAGCTAGCTAGCTAATCTGAGTCATTGTTTAAAAAACAGCTGTCGAAATTTTGGCTCCTGGATTTTAAAATATAGGCTTTGATTTTCTAGTTATCTGACATATGATAAATCTTATGGCTAGCACCAAAAAAAAAAAAAAAAAAAAAAAAAAAAGCTATAACCAATCCCACAAACTTTTTATTGTTCCTTCTTTATTGTCTTTCCCATCGGCTTTCTTGTTTCTCCTTTCTCTTACTAAACAATTTATTTTTAATCCTTGAGTTTCAGTATTTTAAGGAAATTCAGTTTTGTATATACTTAATTAGACTGAACAATAGACTGTCAAATCGGTGATCCCTATTCCCTTCATGTTATAATACACAAATTAAGTAATATAAAAATTATCAGGGGAAAAGTCTCTTAAATATCTCTTTTAAAAATACCGTGGTTGAAGTTATGATGATCATCATTAATTAGTGATTATAGAAAATTGTTGGTTTAAGAACTTTTTTTTTTTTTTTTGAGACAGAGCCTAGCTCTGTCGCCCAGGCTGGAGTGCAGTGGCTCGATCTCAGCTCACTGCAAGCTCCGCCTCCCGGGTTCACGTCATTCTCCTGCCTCAGTCTCCCGAGTAGCTGGGACTACAGGCACCTGCCACCACGCCTGGCTAATTTTTTGTATTTTTAGTAGAGATGGGGTTTCACCTTGTTGGCCAGGATGGTCTCGATCTCCTGACCTCATGATCCACCCGCCTCGGCCTCCCAAAGTGCTGGGATCACAGGCGTGAGCCACCGCGCCCGGCCCGGTTTAAGAACGTTTTAAGAGAGTACACATCAGGCTGGGTGCAGTGGCTCAGGCCTGTAATCCCAGAACTTTGGGAAGCTGGGGTGGAAGGATTGCTTGAGCTCAGGACTAGATCAGACCTGGGCAACAAGGCAAAACTCTTGTCTCAAGAAAAAAAAATGTAAAATTAGCTGGGTGTGGTGGCATGCGCTGTAGTCCCAGCTACTCGGGGAGCTGAGGTAGGAGGATCGCTTGAGCCTGGGAAATTGAGGCTGCAAATCAGCCATGTTCACACCACTGCACTTCAGTTTGGATGACGAAGCATGACCCCTGTCTCAATAAACAAAAAACAAACAAACAAAAAAACAGAGACAGAGAGAACACATCTTCTGATGCAGTCCTAGTTTAAGAAACTTTATTCCCTCATTTCTAATTCGTGCATAAAGTTTTCTCTTGGGGTGAGAGTCCTTGCATTGGATGCCAAGAAAGCCATCTTGTAAAAAATCAGTCCTGTAAGACACTGACACAGAATGGAAAAATATTCTGTTACTACCTCACTACAAGATACTGTCTGTGGAAATTATTAGTAATTCTGAGCATTCACACAATCACTGTTCAAAGTGACATTATCAGAGACATGGCATTGACAAGAAGAATAGCAAAGCAGCAAGGATGATAAAGTAATTTGCAAAAGTACAGTAGGCCATCACAATGATGCCAAAACAGTTTTAGGTGATGGAAATTCTATGTATGTTCATGTCTTCAGTAGTAGGAAACAGTCTGCATAGCTGGGTTACATCAGAAGTTAATCTGACCTGTGACTTAAAGCCTCTAAGTTACATTAAAAAATAAAAATTAGAAGGTTTGTGTTGCCATTAGGATGTAACATTTCTTTTAAGAACTTTCATTTGTTTATTCGAAGTCTTTTGCCTGCATGATTTTCAATATAATCACTGAAAATTTGTGTAATTAAAAAGAAACAACAAACAAAAGAGTGAATGATTCATCAGATGTGCCTGCTTAGCTTCAATACATATTTTGTTAGAAAATATAAATAATTTATTTGCCTAGGATTTATATTAACTTAATAGACTTGGAGCCTAGTTAATTATCTCTAACTATGCTAACCCATTTCATGTGCAGAATCATATTGATATAGTTTGGTATTTGTCCCCTCCAAATTTCATGTTGAAATGTGATCCCCAGTGTTGGATATAGGGCCAAGTGGGAGATGTCTGGGTCATCGGGGCAGACTCCTCATGAATGACTTGGTGCTGTCACCATGGTAATGAATGAATTCTTGGTCTGTTAGTTACCATCAAATCTGATTGCTCAAAAAAGTCAGTCCTGCTTCTCCTCTCTCTCTCTCTCTCTCTCTCTCTCTCTCTCTCACCATGTGACACATCTGCTCCCCTTTTTCCTTTCCTATGAGTGTAAGCTCCTTGAAGCCTTCACCAGAAGCAGATGCTAGCACCATGCTTCTTGGACAGCTTGCAGAACCATGAGCCAAATAAGCCTCTTTCCTTTATAAATTACCAGTCTCAGGTATTCCTTTATAGCAATGCAAAACAGACTAATATACATGTGGATGTGTAAAATCATGACATAATCATCTCAGAGAAAAAGATTTTAAGGAAGAATAATCAATAGAGAGGTAGACCTAGATATGAGTATGTGCTAAAGACAAACGGTAAAGTATAAACTCTGTGAGTCATCTTTGGCAAACTAGGTTATTTCCTTGTAACCATGGGGAAATTCAATCAATTCAAGCAAACGTTGATTTTATAAAACAGATTTTTTTTTTTTTTGAGACGGAGTCTTGTTCTGTCGCCCAGGCTGGAGTCCAGTGGCACCATCTTGGCTCACTGCAACCTCTGGCTCCTGGGTTCAAGCAATTCTCCTGCCTCAGCCTCCCAAGTAGCTGGGACTACAGGTGCGTGCCTCCACGCCCGGCTAATTTTTGTATTTTTAGTACAGATGGGGTTTCACCATGTTGGCCAGGATGGTCTCAATCTCTTGACCTCGTGATCCACCCGCCTCGGCCTCCCAGAGCACTGGGATTATAGGCATGAGCCACCGCGCCTGGCCAAAACAGATTTTTTTTCCTACATAACATAAGAGAAGATCAAGTAAATTTTTGACTTAGTTGATCAGGTACTTTTGATGTTATATTGGAGGGCAGTGGTCTCTCACTGAGTTATTGGCAAAGGAAAAAACACAGACTACCTCTTACAAAAAACAGGGATGAAACCTTACTCAGTGTGAAGGAACAAGGAAGATCACATATATTATCACTAAGGAGGCTGTAGACAGATTGCTACTGCCTATATATAAATGAAATTATGAATCAATCAATAATAAACAGCACCATTTGAATTGTTTCTCTAGAACTCAGAATTTTCATGGATGTAAGTAATATCTCACTCTATGGTCATGTGAAACATTTGCAAGACATATGTTTAGGTCTATAGCCAGGTGTGGTGGCAGCTTCTGTAGATCCAGCCACTCAGGAGGCTTAGGCAGGAGGATTGCTTGAGCTCAGGAGGTCAAGGCTGCAGTGAGCTATGGTCATGCCACAGTACTCCAGCCTGGGCAACAGAGCAAGACCCTGTCTCTTACAAAAAAAAAAAAAAAAAAAAAAAAGACATATGTATTTGACATGCTCCAAAATCTGAAAATTTTAAAGCACCAACATGACACCACAAATGGAAAATTCCATGTATAAATACTTAATACAAACTTTGTTTCACATACAAAATTATTTTAAATATTGTATAAGATATTGTATAAAATCACCTCCAGGCTGTGTGTTAAGGTGTATATGAAACAGAAATAAATTTCAGACTTGGGTTCTATTCCAAAGATATCTCATTAGGTACAGTATATGCAAATATTAAAGCATCTGAAAAAATATGAAATCCAAAACACTTCTGGTCCTAAGCATTTTGGATAAGTAATTATCAACCAGTACATTCCTGGTTGGGAAGCAGAGCAAAGCAAACTAATTTATTCATATATTAAATGGTTATACATTGAATTTTTGCTATCAGTCAGGCACTATTCTAGGTAGAGGGAATAAAGTCATTCCCCTTTCTGATTCTTCATGGAAAAACGATTTTGAATTCTCTTTTGCAGTTAAGAGTAACCATACAACCTAGTTTTAGGCTTTCTCCATTAAAAACTTCCCATGCATAATCATCTATATTCCTTTCTCATTTCCTAAAATTAGAAATTGAGGTGATATCCAAGTTAACTCTGGAAACCAAGTTTTGGAGATGGTGGAGCCAAAATCTGAAAGAAGACTTGGTTCAAGAATCATTGTCTGAGGCCAGGCGTGGTTGCCCACGCCTGTAATCCCAGCACTTTGGGAGGCTGAGGCAGGCGGATCCCGAGGTCAGGAGATCGCGGCCATCCTGGCTAACATGGTGAAACCCCGCCTGTACTAAAAGTACAAAAAAATTAGCCGGGCGTGGTGGCAGGTGCCTGTAGTCCCAGCTACTTTGGAGGCTGAGGCAGGAGAATGGCATGAACCCGGGAGGGGGAGCTTGCAGTGAGCCGAGATTGCGCCACTGCACTCCAGCCTGGGCGACACAGTGAGACTCCGTCTCAAAAAAAAAAAAAAAAAAAAAGAGAGAATCAGAATCATTGTCTGAAGGAGAATAACCCAACTGAAAACCCCTGTTTTAGCTGTTGTAAGAGAGAGATGAGATTTTTATGTATTAAGTTATTTCTGTTTTAGAGTTCATTTTTTATAGCAGCTATAATTAACTAATCCAAATGGTTTCAGCTCAAATAAAAGAAATATTTCTAACATAACAAGAACTATAGGAAGATTCTACAATTTAAAGGTATCATCAAGGTCCCAAGAGATTATCATCTTTCCACAGTTTTCAGTGTGTTGGCCCTGTTGTCCTTGGGTTTGTTGTTACATAGCCACAGAGTGGCTGCCACGGCTTCAGACACTGTCACTATATGTGAGAAAAGGAGATGGAGAGGACAGGATGTGGAGAAATGGTGGCTGCGGCTGCAAAAAGGAGTTTTTTTTTTCTTTATGACTCTTTTTTTTTTCAGTCAATGAAGGAAATCTGTACCAAAACTCCCCCATGGCCGGGCGTGGTGGCTCACGCCTCTAATCCCGGCACCTTGGGAGGCCGAGGCGGGTGGATCACAAAGTCCCAAGTTCAAGACCAGCCTGGCCAATATGGTGAAACCTCGTCTCTACTAAAAATACAAAAATTAGCCGGGCGTGGTGGCAGGCACCTGTAGTCCCAGCTACTTGGGAGGCTGAGGCAGGAGAATCACTTAAACTTGGGAGGTGGAGGTTGCAGTGAGCCAAGTTTACATCACTGCACTCCAGACTGGGCGACAGAGTGAGACCCTATCTCAAAAACAAACAAACAAACAAACAAACAAACAAAAAACCCCTCCCCCATGTTATTAACTGAATGTTAATGTTCCCCCAAATTCATATTTTGAAACTCTAACCCTAAAAATGATGGTATTTGGAGGTGAGGCCTTTGAGAGGTAATTAGGTTTATATATGGTCATGAGGGTTGGAGCCCCTGTGAGTGAAAGAAGAGAAAGAGGGACCAGAGCTCTCTATCACTCTCTCTGCCCTGTGAGGACACAGTGAGAAGGCAGCTGTCTGCAAGCCAGGAAGGAAGCCCTCACCAGGAACCAATATCTTGATCTTGGACTCTCCAGCCTCCGGAACTGTGAGAAAATAAATGTCTGTTGTGTAAGTCACTCAGTTTATAATATTTTGTTATAGCAGCCCTAGCAGACTAATACTTCCCACTGTACGTTTACTTTTTTATGTAACTCTATGTTAACTTCCTCATTTCTCCTATTCATAATTAGTCAGAAGAAATCTGGACCATGTAACTAATTTGCAGAATTGGTTCAGGTACCCAAATATTTTGCAAATTGGTCCACTGTATTGATAACCTCGTATTAACTGAACTAGAGTAGCAAGACGTTGCAAGTGCGTTAGAGGCCTTGGAAAAACATGTGTGGCCTAGAAAGTGTAAATAAACCCCATGAAGATTTAAGGGCCAACCACAGCAGTGATGTTTTTAGGAGTCCAGTTATCTTTGGCATGTTGAAACAATCCAATCAAATTAAAAGACAAAGTGCAGCACTACTTTGGATTCTAAAGACAGCATGTTTCACACTTGAGAATACTCATTCTACCCATTAGTGTGTGACAGCAAAGGCTGCCTGTTTTCAGTGAAAACTAGTGAGGAAAAATGCTTCGTAGGGGGTGTAGGAGAAAGTGGCTTCCCTACTTGGGCCGTATGATCCAAAAGATAACATATTATTACATATATCAGTGGTAGGAAAGAATGCAGAGTTTATGGCAAACTCTGACAGGAGAATCACAATGTACACCCCTAGAGTTCTGGTCCAAGATCATGCCACCTCACTGGAGAATTATACTATATACCAAAAGCAGTTATTAGGAGATATGTGTCAGCCAACCACGAGATATCAAGTGATTTTGTAACCAGATATTTCCATCATGAATTTCTGAGAGTCTCATCCAGCCATAAGGTGGGGTAGGTGCAGAAGAAATCCATCAAAAGATGGAATTGCACACCTGGGATTGAGCAAGAGCAGAAATAGAGGGCACAACTATGATGTGTAATCAGGTAGCCCAGACTCCATGTCATCCATCACTATTACATCAAAATCCCTCCCACAGCACATACCTGTGGCTGCGTGATGAGGACAAATATGACTGGTGGGCCGAGCAGGAAAGTGACTGAGCTTGGTTCACAGGGGAGTTGGCTCAGCATGTGGGTAAAAACTAAAAGTGACCCTAAAAAACAACTGTAAGAATAAGTTCTCCCAGTGGTGAGAGCTGCAAGTGATGCAGTTTTCCATTTGGTGTGGAAAGAAAAGTGGCCCAAGATAAGGATGTTTACAGACTCATGGACTGTGGTGAATTGACTAATTGTTCAGGGGCCTGGAAGGATAAACATTATGACTGAGAAAAAGGAGATATGGAAATTAGATATGTGGATGGATCTATGGGAATGATCATAATTTGTGAACATCTTTGTGTCACAGGTTAATACTCCCCCAAGAGCAACTTAAAAGAGGCAGTGATCATCCAAGTTAAGTTAGCCAGTTCATGTCAGTCAGCATATTTCATATGCCATCTTAGTTACCGCCACTTTGGATACCTAAGCTGCCAATAACAGAGACCAATTGATACATATATACACACACACACACATACACACACACATGTACATACACACATACGTATATACAAATATATGTGTGTATATATATAATTCTTATATATTCCTTTATATATATTTCATATGTGTGTGTGTGTGTGTGTGTTTTTTAATTTAGACGTGGTCACATTCTGTCACTCAGCGGCTAAAGTCCTGTGGCAAGATTATAACTCACTGCAGCCTCAAACTCCTGGGTTCAAGCAATCCTCCCACCTCAGCCTCCCAAGTAGCTAGGACTACAGGCATGTGCCACCATGCATGGCCAATTTCTTTAAGGGTGTTTATAGAGACAGGATCTTTGTTGCCCTGTTGCCCAGGCTGGCCTCGAACTCATGTCAAGTGATCCTCTTGCCTTGGCCTCCCAAAGTGCTTGGATTACAGGTGTGAACCACTGCATGCAGCCAACAGAGACAAGTTCTCTACCTCCCATATGACATCATCTTTTCAGAAGACCAACCAGCCACTTGGTGGCACGTTCATTGTATTAAATATTTTTCACTCTGGAAAGAGCAGAAATTCATCTTGAGTGGCATCATCCATATAACCAAGAATAGATTTGCCTTTTCTACTCACAGGGTCTCTGTCAGAACCATTGTACAATGGACTAAAGACTGCTTACTACATCAACATTTATGTCATATGTTAGATCTTATTGAACCAAGTAATTCACACTGCAGCAAAGGAGATGTGGCAGATATCCATGGGATCCACTGGCTCTGTCACACCCTACAACACTCAGAAGCTGCCAGCCTTACAGAGCAAAAGAAGATCCTTGTAAAGGCACAACAGAGACACCATCTTGGAAATAACACACTGAGGGGACCCATCCTCCAGGAGACAGCATGCACTCTACATGAGGGACCATTGTGTATGAGTACATCCTCAACAGTATAATACATGAATATGTGAGCTAAGTAATGGCTCTGTGTATCATTACTTCCAGTGACTCATAGCTCACTGCCTTGAACTCCTAGGAATCTATGCTTTCTGTCCTTACAGTTCTTGGTTCTAGAGGTTTAAAGGTCCTTGACCTTGAGGGGCCACAAAAGCCCCATTAACATTTAAGCTATAGCTGCTACCTTGTCACTTGGACCTTCTCATACCAGTTCTCCAGGAGACAAATAAAGTGATAGTCATCCTGGAGATGCTACCTTGATCACCGGGAGAAAGTATGGCTGCTGTTTCACAATGGGGACAAGGAAGAATTTGCATGGCCCCCATATAATAAACCTGGTGATTCTTTGTTGTTGTTTAGATGGAGTCTTGTTCTGTCGCCCATGCTGGAGTGCAGTGGCACAACCTTGGCTCGCAGCAACCTCCGCCTCCTGGGTTCAAGTGATTCTCCTGCCTCAGCCTCCTGAGTAGCTGGGATTACAGGCACCCACCACCACGTCCAGCTATTTTTCTTTTCTTTTTTTCTTTTTTTTTTTTTTTTGTATTTTTAGCAGAGATGGGGTTTTGCCATCTTGGCCAGGCTGGTTTTGAACTCCTGACCTCAAGTGATCCGCCCGCCTTGGCCTCCCAAAGTGCTAGGATTACAGGCATGAGCCACTGTGCCTGGCCTAAACCTGGTGATTCTTGAGGCATCTCTTTGTTCTCTGTTGCTAAATTTTTGTGGTAACTGGACAAGAGAAACAGGTAAGGCCTGAGAAGTTTATGATGACTAAGAACCCAGACCCTGCAGATATGACATTCTGCATTTAGTAGCTACCCAGATCTTCAGAAGCACTAGTTAAAGGTGAATCTAGAAATCATAATGGAAGAGAGAAACAATGAATATCATTTATGACTTCTGACTAGCTATAGTGCATGGGCTGTAGTTTGTCTCATTTACTGTCCTTTTTGTGTTTTTCCAGGGATTCTAGAGGAGCTGATTCCAGAACTTAATACACTCATGCACCGCATAATGACGTTTTGATAAATGATGGGCCGCCTATACAATGGTGGTGCCGTAAGATTATAGTACTGAATTTTTACTGTACCTTTTTTTTAATGTTTAGATTCACAAATACCATTGTGTGACAATTGACTACAATATTCAATACAATAACATGTCGTACAGGTTTGTAGCCCAGGAGCAGTAGACTATACCATATACCCTAGGTGTGTAGTAGGCTATACAGTCTAGGTTTCCGTAAGTATGCTCTATGATGTTCGTACAATGATGAAATCATATAAGGACCCATTTCTCAGAATGTATCCCTGTTGGTAAGGGATGCATGACTGTATATGAATCACAAGTATCTGAATAGTGCAGGGAGTAGAATGTTGCAGATGCCATTTTAAACCATCTATTTCTCTCATTAGGACTGAAGCTGTTACTCCCCCAACTTCTGGGAGTGTTTTTGGCTGAAAGCTCTCAGTCAGAGCCTTGCTCTGGGAATTGTCCTCAGCCAAGGAGAGGTAAGACAACCATGCGTGTGCACCCATCCCTCATCCAATGGCTGACTGATATGGGGACATGAATGCCTACTCCTCTGGGGAAAGTTGGAATAATTCTACAGATGCATTCCAGCACCAGAGCTCCTGGTGAAAAAGATGAATCTGCTGTGGCCTTAATTTTGACTACATTTCTCTGCCAGTCCAGGTTCCTTCACCCCACTACAGGTGTTAATTCCAAGGCAATTTCCAGTAAGCTTCCTACATACCCATTTCTGTCCCAAAATCTAATTTCTAAAGACCCCTTCCTAAAACAGTGATCAAAAAGTGATCTCTGTAGAAAGCTAGTATTTCAACTGAGACCTGAGTGACAAGATTCAGACATAACAAGGACTATTCAAAAAACTGTTCTAGGTGGCAGAATAAGCTTTATTTTCTACGTGCAATCTCTCTCTCACTTAAGGTTACCTAATCATACCTCTATATTCTATCCTAGGAAGAGTCAAACTTGACTTTTAAGAAGTGTTGAAGCCCTACATTCCTTGAAAAATTATGCCGGTATGTACTTTAAGCAAGAACTGAACATTTCATTAATGCCGTATTTCTGTCAAATACAGGCAGAAAACAAAGAGATATTTTTAGAATGTAGGGATTCCAGGTCATGTTATTGAGGGATTAATGTATTACATGTTCATTTTATAGTTTGTTAACTAGCCAATCACAGTCATGATATAAAGAAATTCTTCATTAGTGAGATTTTGGTGATCTAAGAGTACTTAAATGATAATCAATATTTCTAATCTCCTTTGAAGCATTCCAGCAAAGATCTTCACATTAGAATTCAATACAGAATCAGATTTGGAGTCTCTGTATTTTTAAAATTTGGTCTTTAACTGGAATCAGAGACACAATTTTTAATATGAGGTTAGAAGAGCATTTATTAAGTGGAAATAAATTTGGGGGGCATTCTGTTGGCCTGATTAGCTTTATTATTATTACTACTATGACTTTATTTATTTGTTACAATATCTTGGGTCTTGATAACATGGCCAACTGAATGTCTGCAACACAGGTGCTTAGCTGTCTCAGTTTAATCTCTACCAGACTGGCTATCTTTGTATTATCAAAGTGGTTATTTTCACAAGAGTGTAATGTCTACATTAGGCAGTCATTCTGCTCAAGCAAAACCTTTTATTACTATTTTTAAGAGACAGTACCAAGGAAATGAGTTTAAACTTCATTACTATCAGGATTGAAATGGATGTTTATTGATTTATTTATTCTTAAAACTTTTTACAAGTTTCATAATCATACACACTGTGTATCTATCACATCTGAGACGAACTGTTACGACAAATAAATAACAAATTTGTCATCAATATTTCATAGAGGAACAGAGAACAAATATACAAGTACATACATGTATAGATAGACCATTTTCCAACTTAGGAAGGTTCAACATATATTTGCCAACTTTAAAATGGTACAAAAGTGTATGCATTTAGTATACTTCTTGATTTATGATGGGGTTCTCTCCTGATAAGCCCATCATATGTTCAAATTATGAGGGGTTTATTGGGATAAAACCCTATTGTAAAATTGAGGAGCATCTGTGTGTATATGTATGTGTATATGTATATGAATGTATTAAGCTCTTTTCCCTGACTAGTGGCTTTTATTCCTTTTGACTCAGGCTATCTCTAATCTACCTACTGTCTTCCTTCTCTCCATTCTTCACTTAAGTATTTATGTGTTTATCATTTTATTCATCAATTAGGAAACTTCATATATTTGTACATTGCTTGAACGCATATCAACGCATATATTTAATGTGCATATATAAATATATATGTATATACTGTATACCAGAGTTCAGTGAAGTACAGCTTGGGTGTTGGCCACTTCTTTTTGAAAATAAAGCTTTGTCAAAACACAGCTATGCTCATGTGTTTGCATATTATTTACGTCTGCTTTAGGGCTACAGAGTTGAGTTATTTTGTAAGAAATTGTATGACCCACAAGCCTAAAGCTCCCTAAGGCACTTTGACACATAGTTTGGGAACTATGGGTCTAAGTGTTGCATGAGTACATACATGTGTACCTTGGGTAGTTTGGAGAGTAATTTTATACTTTAGATATTTAACATAAAAATTTTATGACTTCTTGGCATTGTAAAGATAGATAAGACATTGGCAAACATTAAGTAACACATCTTCACCCTACCCATGAAGAAGCTAAAATTCAGAAAGATCAAGAGGCTTGCTCATCTTCTTTTTGTTTGTTTGTTTTTCTTTTAAATTTTACTATTACACCACTTAATACTACTACATATAAAATGTTTTACAGTCTTGAAAATGGCTTTTGGCTCCTTTGATAAGGCAATACTAATTTTCCATAAACTACTGTTATTTAACTACAGAAATGAATTGACTAAAGTTAATTTATTTCCATTGCTCATGTGTATTTAATTGCATATTTTGTTCAGTTAGAAGTGCAGAATTTCTGTTTGAACCCAAGTGGTAGAGGTTGCAGTGAGCCAAGATAGTGCCACTGCATTCCAGCCTGGGAGACAGAGTGAGACTCCGTATCAAAAAAAAAAAACAAAAAAAAAACCAAACAGAATTGCAGAATTCCTTTTGGGAACAAGTAATAACATTTTCCTGAATAGATCTTACTTGTGTCTAATGTCTCCCAGAGCTAAATGCACTTACATCAGGCCTTGAGGACCACAGTGTTCTGCCAGGTTAGTAGAGTGAGCTCCACTGCCCTCACCTGCTCCAACTAACTCACCCTCACACTCCTCCCAAAGCCCATCTGCATATGACCTTCCTCCTGTTACCAGGGATGAGATCTTCTATCTAAATCTATCCTTTTCTAAGGCACACTTTGAACTCCACTAACTTTTTTCTTCCAAAGATGCCATTCTCCCTAGGGGCTCCAGACATGCTTAAATCCTTTTATCCACATTTTCCACTTGGCTCCCAGAATTTGCTAACTTATATGCAGAGACAAAGGCATAATAAAACAATTCATTTCAATTGTTTAATTTAACTCACAAGAAATTGATTTCAATCCATCATCTGTCTAATCACCTTGTCTATGTAAATTTGCATCATGGAGGACCAAATCTACAGAATTATTTAGGTCAACTACGGGAACAAAATCTTTGAATTTATTGCACAAAAATCTGTTTCAGGGAAGGGCAAACTGTAGCCCACTAGCCAAAGTGCCAGTTGTCTGTTTTTGTATGGCTTGTGAGTTACAAATAGTTTTGTTTTGTTTTTAAATTGTTACATTTTAAATTGTTATGTATGCACCTACATAATATCCTTAATTTTATTTTTAAACCCTCGTAAGTTAAAATACTTATTATCTGGCTGTTTATAGAAAATGCTTGCAGAACTCTGGTATGCTTATTTCTTTGCCCATTTTAATGTTATGCTTGCCACTATTAGCTAAGTAAAACTACTCAAACTAAATTACTTGTGTGGGTAATTCAATTACTACATTTAAATTCAGTTAATGAAATTCTGCTGACCTCGGTAAATACTCATGGAGCTACTGTTTCAAAACAGGTATTATTTTAGGTCCAGGGAATGTAAAAATTAATCAGACAAGACGCTCGTAACCCAACAGAATCTTCTTATTGTATTTGCAGAATATCACCTGTACCTTTCATTTTATGGATTGCAAAGGAAGTAGTTTACCATGTGATGTAAGTTAGAGGATTGAAGATTGCCCTTTGACTCTTGTGATCAATGAGAAAGTTTGCCGAAGGTAAGAAAGTGATTTTTCTATCTCCTAAAATATATACCTCAGTCCAGATATTTGAATTCTTTTATCACCTTCAGACAATTCACACTAGAAACTGCGTAACATCCACAGAGCTTTTGTTGCAGTAAAATATAACAATAAAGGTCAGCTGCTGTCATATTTCTACCTCTGAATAACTCTTAAGCCTACTTAAATGACACGTTCTCGATTTTAATTTGCACATCAAAGTGTAAAGTAACAGTGATTAAACCTACTATATGAATGTTTTTCTCCTTATGTTTAATAGGAACTTGAACTCCGTCACTCACATTTCATTACTTAATAACTCAAAGTTACTAGATGCCCCTGAAAACCAGTAGGCATGCCTTAACTTCCTCTCATTCAGTTTTAAAAGGAATCACACTGTGATATACATGACATTAATTCCTATACTATCCATTCAATTTCATAAAATAATTTTGAAACTGTATGTCTCATGGACACAAAAAAATAGTTTTTTTAATGTTAGAAAATTAAAAAGAGGGGGATTAAAGTGGTTCACACATGTGCCTACACAAAGACACAAGATGGAATCATTACACTGTCATGAATGACAACAAATTCATTTAGCAGAACAATAAAATACTAGTTGACATTTTATCTATTTTCCTAAAATTTTATTTTCTTAAAGTTTATGTGTGTGTCTCTGCATATATGTATATAATTAATGGCCCACCACTTATGAGTCAGAATCATTGTTTCAGCCTTGTCTTTTACCTACAAAAACTTTTTAACTTATTACAGTGGCTGTCATTCATTTATTCACTCAACAAATATTTATTAGATATGTACTATTTCCTAGGCATTACATGATACCAAATTATTATTATGTCTCCAGATTTGGTTTCCTTCCAAAGAAAAATAGATAAACTTTACATAACTATCATTCATTTTATAATCTAGATTAAAAATAGAAAATTTCTTCTTAAATTTTAGTTATTATTTATATTGGGCAATTATCTTTTATAATTGTACAAAGTAATAACACAGTGTAGTTTCTCACCAAGTATATTGGTCTCACTAAGTATATTGGTCAATTCCATTTATAACTCATTGCTATTTATGATACTGTTTTATGATGCACACTGTTGTGACTATATGACTGAATTCATGTTGGCTGATTCAACAGGAGCACTCATATTACATATCTTTTAACTTTATATGTATAACTTTATTCCTCTGTGTAGTTAGTCACTGTAATAATTCACACAAGTCTTCTACCACATCTCCAAGTGAGGGATCTTTGCTTATTTTGGTTTGCTTCACTGAGTTCAAGCTAGACTTTCACCTTATCTCTACTATTTCCTAGTTCCTATCTTCTAGCTTTTTATCTTAATGGGTGGCAAAAAGCCAGAGGCAATGTAGAACTAGGTAACTTCTGCTGAAGAAAAGACAGTTATTAACAACTTCTACAACAGAATTTTAGGTTCACTGTTTCAGCTTTAATTTCTTTTACTGCTCACTCTAGACTGCCTAAAAGTCACTTAAAAAGTCATCAATCAACTATTTTTATCAGCAACGACAAAATACAGTAACATAGCACATTATGAGTTATAATACTTCATCACTTATTATTGTATTTGCTTTTCTCTTAAAAACTCAATCAAAGGTAAAACAAGTAGTTTTATTATGAAGATAATTTCTTCAGAAGACAATATTGAGGTTTAGTGATCCCTGTTGCATTTTCTAATATAACACACCTAGTAAATCCTAGAATTTGACTTAGACATTATTATATCAAATGTTACTTTTTTTATTTTATCTTGTCCCCTCTTTTCATATATATATATTGAAATCAAGTTCTGAAAATCAAAACAAAAAGCTGTCCTTTACCAGATACAGTAGGAGATGGGAACTGGTACAACTCTGAGACCGAAAGGTGATAGATGTCTAACATTAACTGATATATTAAAAATAAGTGTTAAAACAGACACGCTTATGGGGAACAGAGGCAGAAACACTATTTTATGCTGGATAATTAGGGGAAGGATAAGATACAAGATTAGATATAAGCTGGCTCTTTAAGAATGGATGGGATGTTTTATGATAAAAGGAGTGGCAAGAGCATTCTGGAAATGAGCAATAAAATGAACAAATTAATGAGGTGATAATGGACATGAAATGTTTGCAAAGTGAGTTATTTGGTATTCATTTGGATAGTGTTCAAGAATATAGTCATTGGAGTCAAACAGAGAGAGTCTACCACTTATTAGTGTGATGAACTAGCACAAATTATCTAAGCTTTCTGAGGTTCAGTTTCTTTATTTTAAAAATTCTTTACTTAAGAAAAAAACAAAAAACAACAGAGTCCTGGGCTGGTGAAAAGATTAAAATGCACTGAAGCCCTTAGCAGACTACCTGGCACGGTGTGTGCACTCAGTAGGCCGCAATGGTTATTAGTAGTAATAGTATCCCTGGCTTACCAGAGTCAAGATGACTATTTAGCACTTTTGCCAAGAAAGTTGATTCTAGAGCTCCACTGTGACTATTTTCAGCTTACATTTCTAACAAGATGTAATCCTCACTACTCAACAACAAATAGGCTATAAAGCCCAATGCAGAGGCAGGTGGGCTAAACATGGACACTCAGAGGAGAGAAACGGAACTGAACTGCAGGTCATAGGACACCAAAATGAGGGTCTTCCGTGAGCAAAGCATAACTAACAAGGGACTTTTTGCTGTTGTTCATCTTTCCTCTTCAGTACATCATTCTTCAAACAAATTTCAAAGTAAATTGGTAGGACGGACGGCCAATGAAAAATAGCAGCACTAGGCCATTTTTCTTCTACTTTTTTCCCTTAAGTGTCACTAAACATATAGACACATGTTGGGGTTGAGGGGGGAGAAGGCGAGGAGAGTGTAACTTTTCCTATGTGGTGGAAAACAAAAAAACAAAAAAACTAACTTCAAACCTAAAACTCAAATGATCTCCATCACATACTCAAATTTGGATCAAAATCATGGAGGATGATTAAAGCTGATATTTATGTCCTCAGACTTCAGACAAGTACAGACTTATCTAAAAGTGAGTGAATGAATCTGAAAAGACAATGTGATGACTCTGTGGAAAATGTGGATGAAGTTTAGAAGTGTGAAAGTGGTCTGAGGGATGAAGGGAGCCAGACAAGGTTTAGATGCAAATCCACAAGGTAGAACAGGAGAGGAAGTCGTACAGTGGAACCTTGCTGGAGGGCCATTGGTGTTGCCTTGATCTGGCTTCTTAGCACAGGGAGATGGTTGGATATAAGAGAATGAGGAGGGTGGGAAAGCAATGGCCATCTCTTTATATCACAGAACATTGTTGTGAGTCACAATCCCACCCTGAAAACTGACAGAGCAGGAGCATTGCCATCTTGGATGAGCACTGCCATTTTAAAGTTCACCTTGATCAAAAACCACCTAAATCTAAACGGTATCAGCCTAATGGCTAAGGTCAGCATGACCATAAACCACAAATGACATCTCCGACCAGAAACATTCCAAACCCCTTCCTGACCAGAGACATGCCAGCCCTGAGATAACCCTCCCCTCCGGCCAGAGAGATGTCAGACCCCAGATAACCTGCCCTCTAACCAGAGACATTCCAACCCCACCATAAACTTCTCCCCAACACAGAAACTTTCCAACCTCTCTCACCAATAAATACTCTTAGACCGTAAGAGAGAGTGCTCCTCACCAAAAAAATCGTCCAGAAACCCCTCTCAGGTTTGTTCTCCAAAATAAACCTGTCTTTGACTGTTAAGCCACTTTTTGTGTTTCTTTCCTCTTTCTTTAACTTTTACAAAAACCAAACTCTAAACAGAGCAATGCCCCTAAGTTGGAGAACGTAGCAGACTTGTGAGAGTGTATTTGAGATGACAAACCTAAATTGGAATTTTAGACTGTCCCGAGGCAAGTGCAAGTCCCCTCACCCCCCTCCCCAAATCCCTGACAAAACCCTCACCACTTGGGGATAATATTTGAAGCATCATCTTCAAATAGCTACTCTAGGTAGAATTTTATCTACTCCTTCCCACCCCATTAAGAGAGGTAATAACAGAAAGAAACCAGAAGAATACCCAGGGACTACACATTTTAAATATGCACAGAGCCTTGTCCAGAATGTCGTATGATAAATGCACACTAGCAAGGGTTACTTCTGGTTGAGTAGAATTCTTCTTTGCACTTTTATGTCTCATACATATGTATATTTTAAAAAGATGTGAACATTTGTCAAAATAGATAAGCAAATAAAACATAACACAAATGTGACACTCAAGAAGAGAAAAATAAAAGGGAATAATTGTGGATCACAAAGTGAGGATCAACAAAAATTAGACATGAAAAAAAAAAAAGGAATGACCCACTGAATCATTTACTGGGCAGTCCCTGTGATGTACTAGATACTGAGTTGCTGTAGACATAGATATGAAAGGCAAGAGTCACAGGGAACCAAACTATTCCTAGTTTAACCAACTATTTCCTAGGAACCAACTATTTCCTAGTTTAAGAGATAAACCAGGAAAGAGATGATTTCAATAGAGTGAGTTTTTTGATTTTTTGGTTTTCATGGAACATGAAAGTGCAGACTGCAATGGATCAGCCCTTGTTTCTGAACTTTTAAATGTTCCCTACTTTTTCATACACTACACTGGTGATAAAATATGGAAAGTAAAATCGGGCACTTTTCCAAAACTATGTTTGTGCTGGCTCTTGATTCTGCTCTTGTGTTCTTCTGAAGCAGGAAACAATGAGGCACAGATGAGTGAATCCGCAAGTAGCAGGATAGGGAAGGGTGAAGAAAGTTGAAGGGAAAAAATGATTGGTGGCTATTATTATTATTTTATTTGTACAGTATGGGAGGAAAGATCTTTTTCCAAAGTGTGATAGAGAGGGTAGTGAGAAAGGGACTTCAGTGATGACAATCCGAAATAAACATTGTGGAAAACGGCAGAGTGCTCATTAGGGATATGTCCAATTACTGCTCATCTAGTCTTGGAGACAGGACATTTTGCAGTTGGAAATTCCAATGGCAGTCTAACCAT
This sequence comes from Homo sapiens, assembly GCF_000001405.40. Taxonomy (NCBI): domain Eukaryota; kingdom Metazoa; phylum Chordata; class Mammalia; order Primates; family Hominidae; genus Homo; species Homo sapiens. The sequence continues at coordinate 115,089,349 of NC_000002.12, read as the reverse complement.
TAATTTTCCTAGCAATGATTGTTATGTGGAAGTCAAAGAGAAAAGAATGATTAGATTGGATTATTCTGACTGTGTGTAAGAATAATGGCAAGAAAGTCAGGACATTTCTAATATTAGAAAGAAATGATCAATGCGATGATTGACCATGAGGTCTAGGTATGTTCAGAAAAACAATGAAAGCAGAAGAGAATGAACTGAGAAATGGATAAAAGAGGAAAAAAAAGGAAAAGAGGAAATCAGGCTGAAGATGTCAAGAAGTTTGCGGGCAGAAGGTGGCGCATAAAAATTTAGGACAGAAGATATGAGGCAAGCTTGGATGATGACAGCTCTCCAGGATGTTACTCTGAGGATGAGGGGCCAACCTGGGATGGCAATAAAGGTTGTGGAAGTCAAGGGATGGTCAGTCAGCTGTAGCCAGGAATTCAGGCCAAAATTAAGAAGTTTTTTTCCTAGTTAAATGTGGCTAAAAGTTCACTAAACATTTTCCTAATTTCTCAGTGGAAAAGAAACATAAAATTAATATAAATTCATTATATTTTTTAAAAAATTGTTTAGTTTTAAGGTTTTTTTTGTTTTTTGGTTTTTTTTTTTTTTTTTTTGTCAGGCACAGTGGCTCACAGCTGTAATCCTAATCCCGGCACTTTGGGAGGCCAAGGTAGGAGGGTTGCTTGAGGCCAGGAATTTGAGACCAGCCTGGGCAACACAGTGAGATCCTGTCTCTACAGATAATTTTAAAAAAATCAATCAGGCATGGTGATGCCCATGTGTATTCCCAGCTGAGGCTGAGGTGGGAGGATCCCTTGATCCCAGGAGGTCAAGGCTGCTGTGAGCCATGATCAGGCCACTGCATTCTAGCCTGGGTGACCCAGCAAGACCCCGTCTCTCAAAGAAAAAGGAGAAAATAAAAGAAAAAAAGAAAAGTTGTTTTTGATTTTTTTCTGTGGAAGTTAGCTAGGTAGCACCATTTTTGTTTTTCTCAGATAATACCATAGTAACCCTTATGAAATCCAGACTGAAAAGCACTATAGACATTTCTCTAGAAGAACAGCTATCAAAGTGTGTTCCCTCCTGCTGCTATGGTCTGAATGTTTGTGTCCCTTAACAATTTATATATGGAAATTCTAACACCCAAGGTGATGGTGTTAGGAGGCAAGGCCTTTAGGAGGTGATTAGGTCATGAGAGTGGAGCCCTCATGAATGGGATTAGTGCCCTTATAAAAGAGGCTGGAGAAAGCTAGGTCTCTCCTTCCACCGTGTGAGGACACAGCTAAAAAGCACCATCTATAAACCAAGAAGAGGGCTCTCCCCAGACACTGAATTTTCTGGAGCCTTCATCTTAAACTTCCCAGGCTTCCCAGCCTCTAGAACTGTGAAAAATAAAGGTCTGTGTTTATAAGCCACCAAGTCTATGGTATTTTGTTACAGCGGCTCAAATCAACCAAGACACCACCTGACAGCATCTGCATAACTTGAGAACTTGTTAGAAAGGCAGAGTTGGCTGGGTGCGGTGACTCATGCCTGTAATCCCAGCACTTTGGGAGGCCGAGGTGGGCAGATGACCTGAGGTCATGAGTTTGAGACCAGACTGACCAACATGGAGAAACCCCCATCTCTACTAAAAATACAAAATTAGCTGGGCGTGGTGATGCATGCCTGTAATCCCAGCTACTCGAGAGGCTGAGGCAGGAGAATCGCTTGAACCCGGGAGGCAGAGGTTGCGGTGAGCCGAGATTGGGCCAATTGCACTCCAGCCTGTGCAACTCTAGCCTGGGCAACAAGAGTGAAACTCTGTCAAAAAAAAAAAAAAAAAAGAAAAGAAAAGAAAAGAAAGAAAGAAAAAGAAAGACATAGTCTCAGGTCACGACCTTGACTTCCTAAATAGAAACCCTAAAGGTGGGGCCAGCAATCTGTGGTTTCAGTCACCTGCCATGTGATTCTGATGCATGCTAGAGTTTAAGGACCACTGCTCTGGAAAGTATTTGTACTAATTGATTTAGTCAGTTTTTTATGCTGAAGAAAATATTAAAGGACTTCAACCAATCCCTAAAATCCATCCCTTCCTTCAACCACTTCCTTGAAGGAATCTACAGCCATTGCCACACTACTCTTTTAACTCGCGGCCTACTCAGCTAGGTGTTTCAGTTTGGAAAATTTAGCTTTTAAAAATACCATTATGGATCAAAACTGCTTTACCATAAGATGAGATAAATGGTAACATGAGAGAGTGAAGCAAAATAAAAACACATTAAAGAATACGCTCGACTTGGAATACACAGTGCCATGGGCTGAGAATGCTTGTTTTGCAACCAGCTAATACTCATGGAATTAGAAAATATCACACACTCTGCACTGTTTGCTCTCGTGAGTTAAGACCACATTTTGGAAGATATTATAGTATATGTTGACGAAAATAGTCAAGCCCTGTAAAATATTTGAAGAGATTTATTCTGAGACAAATATGAGTGACCACGGCCCATGACACAGCTCTCAGGAGGTCCTGACATGTGCCCAAGGTTATTGGGGTACAACTTGGTTTTATATATTTTAGGGAGGCAGGAGACATCAATTAAATACATTTAAGAAATACATTGATTTGGCTGGGCACGGTGGCTCACGCCCTAATCCCAGCACTTTGGGAGGCCGAGGCGAGCAGGTCATGAGGTCAGGAGATCGAGACCTTCCTGGATAACACGGTGAAACCCTGTCTCTACTAAAAATACAAAAAATTAGCCAGGCATAGTGGTGGGCGCCTGTAGTCCCAGCTACTGGGGAGGCTGAGGCAGGAGAATGGTGTGAACCCGGAAGGCGGAGCTTGCAGTGAGCCGAGATGGCGCCACTACACTCCAGCCTGGGTGACAGCCTGGGAGACTCCGTCACAAAAAAAAAAAAAAAAAAAAGAAATACATTGATTTGGTTCAGAAAGGCAGGACAACTCTCTAAGCAGGGAGGGGTTGGGGGGTGGCTTCCAGGCTATGGGTAAATTTAAACATTTTCTGGTTGACAATGGGTTGAGTTTGTCTAAAGACCTGAGATGGATAGAAAAGAAATATTCGGGTTAAGATAAAAGATCGTAGAGACCAAAGTTCTTTTGAAATCTTATAGTGGCTGCAGTTAGAGACAATAGATGACAAATGTTTCCTATTCAGATCTTTAAAAGGTGCTAGACTTTTAGTTAATCTCTTCAGAATTGGGAGGGCCTGAAAGAAAAAGATCTAGCTATGTTAACAGAGATTCTTTACAGATGCAGATCTTTCCCAACAAAGGATGGCTTTGTAGGGCCATTCCAAGACATGGCAGAAAAACATGTTTTGGGGTGAAATATTTTGATTTTCTTCCTTGTCTCATAATGTTATGCCAGAGTCAGATTGGAAAGTAAGTCACGATATATAGGGTACCCACCTGATGAGAATTTGTGGTTTGCAGGGCATGACTCCCGACACCCCTTAGGTAGGAATTTGGCCAAGATAAAAAATCAGAGCTTTAGTCCTCATATAGGAGTTGGTGATGGCACATATGTATGTGATGTGTGTACAATATATTTATTTATTTAGTGGAAGGTAATATTACATATTTTAGCATAAACATATTTTATAAAACAGTTTGGAACAAACAGCACTATAATAGGACTGGGCTAAAAAGGCTGAGTTAAATGAGATATGTATACTTTTTCTGAGGAACACTGTTTTTTAAAGGGGGAGGGGAAACTTTGAGATTTCCTAACATGTTCTAGTGGCACTGGCCACTACCTGCTTCTGATTTTCCAGTTTGAAATTTGGCTTTTTCAAAAGTGTTATTTTATTAAAATGTTTCCTTTTAACTATGCATTTTCTAAGTGTAATATCTATAAACTCATTTATTCAGATTAATTTATTGAAATTTGGGAACAACTGGGTAGAAATGACCACTTTTATTATAGGAATGGGCTTTCTAAACATACTAATATTTAAGAGGCAATATTTAACCTGCTCCAGCAAAGGTAGGTTTCCAGTAATTAGAATGGATGTGAGTACACACACACACACGTGCTCACACATACACATACACACATTGGTGGAGGTGGGACAGAAAGAAGAAAAAGATATGGGAAGGGAAGGGAAAGGATCTGTAAAGTAAAGGTATATTTTATTCCCTGGGTGAACTATTTGTTGGTTCAAATTCAGTCTAGTATAATGAAATAATAAATCACAGAGTGAAATTCAGACAGAACTGCAGAATGCTATTCATTTCAGGTGGTCTAAGCCTTGCTACAAATTCTTCTACAAGAGATAAGCCAGGGGGCACTTGGCATTTTCTCTATTGCCATCTCTTGCCACATTTGGCTCTGTGCTCTTCCCAGACTTAAATGTTGCACCAAACTGAACATCAGTGTGGTGCAAAAACAGCTCTTTCTGAACAAGCCAACTTGCAACTCTGTAACCAAGAAGAATAAAAATAAGCCCTTTTCCTAGAAATGCTAATGCATTTTTCTGAGGCTCTGCTTCCTAACAGGTGCTTTTAGGTATGCTTGAAACTGTGAGCCCTCTGGAGGAATATCAGCCTCACACAACTTAACACAATCGTTATTAGAAGTGAAGCAGCTCTCTGGATTCAGCATATGGACCACAAACTGGCGGAGAGCCTGAGCTCTCGGAGGAAGGACGCCAGTGTCCCTCCGTTGTTTTCTTAGCTGCTGGGAGAGATTTCAGCTCTTCAGCAGTTTCTCTTCCTGACCAGCTTTTCCCAAGATAAATCTGAGCTAGCACCATATGTTTCAAGAACACAAAAACAGCTTCTGAATTATTACAGCATGGTGCACACTTGCCCAGGAAATTCAAGCTGCTTAGGCACTGCAATCATAGTACCAGGCAGAACTGGAAAGAACAGTGAACTTGACAACCTTTTGTCAGATGACACATGTCCACAAAAGTAGGACACCTTGGACGTTTCCCTGAGGCAATAGAATGAGTTGCCTATAGTCCTTAGTTATTTTGAAATCATAATTCTGGCTAAATGAACAATTTTCAGATAATGTTGAGCCCACAAGCACTATTAGAGTTGTAGGAGGTCAGCGCATTATTATGTGTTTTTGTTGTTGTTAAATTTTAAAATCACTGACTGATTTTAATTGTCACGTACTGTGCTAAATGATGGGGATATAAAAATATTTAAGATACAGTACTTGACTTCACAGAGTCCAAGTGAAATAAATAGAAATATCATCAGAAAACCTCAAAATTGTGAGCAGGTATATTAATAGGGATTCATATAGGTTTCGTATTCATATTGATAGGATGTCATATAGGTTTGACAGGATCACAAAGGTATAGCCCCTAACCCACTCTAGATGTTTCATACAAAGACACCTGAAAGAAAACTAACCTGGATGTTAGAAGAGGTGTTTGTGATAGAACTAGATCCTCTTCCTTATTGCAGTAGTATATTACTGATTAAAATATATCCCTGCCATGTTAACTACTGTCCCGCTTTGTTAATCTTTGACAATCCTAAGGCAAACAGATTTCAGGTTTAAAGCTATCTCCTATCCAATAGCAATGGCTGGCTGTGTAGTTGGATGCTACCATGAAAATCTTGCAGAAATCACTTAGTGATAACTTTCAGAGGCAGAGACAAAAATTGTGGTAGCAAATATGTTTATTATTTGCCAAATTCACTGTAGCAAATGCTCTGAAAGTTGTTGTTTAATAACTTTTTTGACAGCTAAGTTTAGAATAGATATAAGAGAAACAAACTACAGCTAAGGATACTAGTCAAGAAACGATCATAATGTTTCAAAAGAGAGAGAAGGAAGGCCTAAACTAGAGCAGTGCGAGAGAAACAGAGTGGACACAAATATAATGAGGAGGGAGGCATGTGTTATGCCAGGTTTCTCTAGTAGGTTGCTGGGTGACTAGTTGTGATACTATGTGAAATAGAGGAATAGCCAGCCAGCAGATGGCAGAGAAGAACGCAGTTACATACTTTGGGATATGTTGAAGCATAGGGCCTCGGGACATATATCTGACTATTACCTAACTGTCAGATTATATATTCAGGACTTTAATGCAGGAAGAGGCTTTGCATAAAGACATAATTTATATCTTTATACAAAGTGGTCATTGAAATAGAAAAAAAAGTGGAGGAGATCCAACAGGGAGAGTTTGTGGATGGAAACATAAGAAAAAGACGGAAACCTAACAAATGCTGATACTTATAAGGAAAACAAGAAGAAATAAAATCTACAAGGGAAATGAAGAATGAATAGTACAGAAATTCCAGCAGAAGCACAAAGATCCAGTGTCATAGACACTAAAAGAGTATAGATTGTTTACGAATAATCAATACTGTCAGATACTGTAAAATAGTCTCATTAGATAAGGACTGAAAAATGCTCATTGATTTGATAACTGAGAGAGATTTAATTTTAAGAAGAACAATTTAAATAAAGTAATATAGCTCTAGGTGTTGAGTTTTTCTGCAAACCTAACCTCTTCTACATTTAGTAGCTTAAAACAATAACCAGTTATTTAGCTCACGAATTCCTAGGTTGGCAATCTGGTGTGAATTTCACTGAGTGGTTCTAGTCTGGGCCACACTGGTTCCTCTCAGTTGATCTAAAGAGAGATTGCTCATGCATCTGTAGTTAGCTGGTAGGTTCACTGGCTGGAATGAGTAGGGCACCTTTCCATATGGACTCAAATCGTCCAGTAATTTATTAGATGTGAAGTTCACAGAGTTCCAAAAGTAAGAGTGGATATACCTCAAAATTCTTGAGACTACTCAGATTATATCCAACATCCTTTCTGTAGCATTGTATTAACCAAGTAATATGCAAAGCAGTCCAGAATGAAAGGGTGAAGAAATCGACTCCACATCATTTTTCAAAAAGCTGCCAAGTTGCCATTTTTGCAGTCTACAATGTTACCAGCAAAGAGTTTTTAGCATTCTGGTTACATGCCATAACCATAGTTCCATGTAGACAAAAATGGCCTCGACTGGCTATTTTAACACAGACTTTGTACCAGTTTGGAGCTAAAAGAGCACGAAGCCTGGCTACCTTCCTTTAAGCCCACAGGAGTTTTAAAGAGTGAGAAACCTCCCCTTGGCTCACAAAGGCAGCAGAGGAAGCAAAGACCTTAGCAGGAAGGTTTTTATTTAAGACCTTACTTAACCTAATACTCTTACTGTTAAAATGCCTGTTCAGAAGGCTTACTGTTTATAGTAATGGGAGGGTCTGCTTACAGGGACATTCTGGCCTGTTGAAAACAACTAAAAAAGCTGATAAAAATATTACAAAATAATTTCTTAAAAGCATCACACAGACAACAAGACAATAAGACATTTTGAGGCCTGAAAAGAAGGAATAATGAAAACTTGGAAATTTATCTTGGTACAAAAGCGGATTTTTCCCTGAAGGTATTTGATTTCCTAGCAGAGGCCTTCTGGGAATGGAATCAAAATCTAATGCAGAATTCACCTAAAATTGGAAGTCTAATAAGACTCCTTCTTGATAAACTGAGACCCTAAAGAGTTTGCCCTCAGGCAAAGGGTGAATGGAAGTGGTAGAACCTCGGTAGAATTAGTCATGTATTTTCTGTACCACGTCTTGAACTTGATGCAGCAATGAACATTCTCTTTGAAAAATGTTTGTCAATTAGTTCTAAATTTTTTTTTTCAAAAAGAATATTCATCATGTCAAAAATGACAACAAGGTGCTAGACTATGAGAACAAGTAGAAAAGGACAGAAATGGAAAACGGAACCACAGCAAAAGGTAAAGACATCAGATATTTATTAATAAGTAATTAGATACTGATTATAAAACAACTACACTGAAAGGTGTAAATAAATGAAGGACCAACTAAAAGATATCTGCAGAGGACAGGGAACCATAGAAACAGACATAGAAGGTTTAAAAAATCTTCTGGAAAAATATATCATAGAAATTAAGATCTCTGTGAGCAGACTTAACAACAAACTGAAGACAGCTAAAGACAGACTTTGTATCTGAGAAGATAGCTTGCAAACAATTATCTTGAGTTTAATTTTAAAAGACCCATGATGGACTATACATGAGAGAGATTACTAACCATGAATGACACCAACACAAGATTTAGGAAATGTAATCCGAGTCCCAGATGGAGAGGAGAGACTGGAGGACAGCTGATATATCTGAAAAGATTGTGATTGACAATTTTCTAGATCTGAAAGACAGTAATCTGCAGATTCAAGAAGCTCACAAATCCCATGCAAGATAATTAAAAAGAAATCTGCAACTAAATATGTTACATTGAAACTGCTGGGGGAAAAAAAGACTGAGAAAAAAATCTTAAGAAAGGCCACAGGTGAAGAACAGCAACAAAATATCACCCTCAAAGGAGCAAGAATTTGACTGATGGCTAACTTCTCAACAGCAACAAAGTCAGACAGTCAATAGTGGAATAATCTCTTTAATGCACTAAAAGAGAATGATTATAATCTAGAGAACATTTCAGGAATGCTGATAAAAACGGACTTTTTCAGAGCAACAATGTTGAGAGGGGTCTTTGTGACAACTTTCACTAAAGTCATTCTAAGAGATGAACTGTAGACAGAGAGAAAATGATTCCAGGTGCATCTAAGGTGTAAGAAACAATAAAGAGCAAAAAAGATGGAAATATGTGGGAAAAAATACACGATCTGCACTGAGTGATCTCTTAAATGAAGGGTTGGCAAGCTTTATCTATATGGGGCTAGACTGTATTTTCTTCTTTGCATGCCTTATGGTCTCTTTTGTGATTTTCTGCTGTTGTACAAAATCAGCCACAGACAATTCATAGAAGAATAAGCTTTGGTTTTAATGTGACTGGGTTGTTTCCGACAAAACTCTATTTACAGAATAAGATAGTGGACTAGGTGTAGTCCAGGGGCCATAATTTGCAGACCTCTAACTTGAGTTAACTTCCAGCTGTACTCATGAGCCATTTTAGTTTGTGTCCAAGCTTACAAGGAAGAAATAACCAAACAAAAAAAAGTTACATCCTTCACTTTATTGTTCTAGTTTAAGATATACAGGGTGGCCAGGCACGGTGGATCATGCCTGTAATCCCAGGACTTTGGGAGTTCAAGGTGGGCTGATCACTTAAGGTCAGGAGTTCACGATCAGCCTGGCCAATATAGTGAAACCCTGTCTCTACTAAGAACACAGAAATTAGCCAGGCTTGGTGATGGGTGCCTGTAATCCCAGCTACTTGGAAGGCTGAGGCAGGAGAATCGCTTGAACCCCGGAGGCAGAGGTTGCAGTGAGCCAAGATGGCACCACTGCATTCCAGCCTTGGCTATAAGAGCAAGACTCCATCTAAAAAAAAAGATATACAAGGCTGTTAGCCATAAATATAGCATAGCCTCTGACCCTTCCTTCTATGGTCAATCCCAGGTAAAGCCTTGGGCCATCATCACAAAGCCTCTCCTTATGTGCCCTTAATGTTTCCAATTGTAGGAAATATTCAACAACAATGAGGCAACTAGTAGGAGCTTTCTGGAAAATCAATCTGATAACGCCATTTCTCTGTTGACCTTTTTTTGCAGACTTCTCTATCTGTTCATCAAGCTGCAGTCACTCATCATGATGTGAGGCCTTTGCGATTTAGTACTGACCCTTCCTCTAGACACTTCTCTCTCACTTCATCAAGCTCATCTCATGACTGACCTTGGGTAGTATAGTTTCCAGAGTGCAGTGCACCAGCTGCTGCTGCTTTTCCTGTGGTCCCATGGGCTGCTTCTCCAGCCCCAGTATGCACCAATTTGTCTAGCTGGCAAGTACTAGTCCCTGAAGACTCAATCCACACAACACTCCCCTGAGAAAGTGATGCCACCCCAAATCCAATATACACTGTTCCTCTGGGCCTCCCAGAGTGTTCTGCTAACGTTCCCATGCATAGCAGGCAACACTGTGTCCTAGTTTGTCTGTCATCCCCGTTAATCTCTGATTTTTTTAAGGATTTTCTTTTTTTCTTTTTTTTTGTTTTTTGAGACGGAGTCTGGCTCTGTCGCCCAGGCTGGAGTGCAGCTCACTGCAAGCTCCGCCTCCCGGGTTCACGCCATCCTCCTGCCTCAGCCTCCTGAGTAGCTTGGATTACAGGTGCCCGCCACCACGTCCGGCTAATGTTTTGTGTTTTTAGTAGAGACGGGGTTTCACCGCGTTAGCCAGGATGGTCTCGATCTCCTGACCTCACGATCCACCCGCCTCAGCGCCCCAAAGTGCTGGGATTACAGGCGTGAGCCACCGCGCCCGGCCGAGGATTTCTTATTTCTGAGTCCCAGCACGGTGTAGAGTGGGCACTCAAGCGTGGACTCAAGTGTGTGTGTCTGTGTGTGAATGTTAAATTATTGAAGAAAAAATAAGACTTGATAACCTTAAGTTTATCATAGAATTAATCTAAATCAAAAAATTGCCCATTAATCAAGAACCTATAAATATCTCTTCAGCATGATTATAGAGGTCAAAATAATCAAAATATTATTGTATAGTAATTATGGTGTTACTCTTTGAGCAATTTAACTGATAACTTGAGTAATTTATCTGTGATACTTAAATATGTCTTTAATATGAAGACCAAAGAAACTTTTTAAAATCAAGTTTGCACTTTGAAACAACTTACATATTGATATCAGGTGACCAATCCCGTGTTGTATATTGCAAACTCAGAATTGATTAGGTTAGCAATTTCTTCAGTTTATTATTTCAACTTTAATTTTGAAACGTAATTCTAAAAGTTATCCTTTATAGACTCTACGTATTGTTTAGATTTTAGCATACTACTTAAATAATCTTTACTAAGTATTGCGTTATACAAACAGCAATTTGTTTACACCTGCCTACATTTTAGTGGGTTTCATTAGTTCATTAATTTAAAACATATAATGGAACCACTGATGTGATGATATTTTCTCGTAATTCTTTTTAAAAATAATTGACTTTAAAACAGTTTTACAAAATTAGTCTTAATCTTTTTTGAATAACAAATTTCCAACCATGATGTGTTTGTGAGGTTACAGTATAATTTTCTTTTGCTGCTTATTTCAGTAGTATTTAACATTTTCATGTAATATGGAGTTAATTTAATATTGACTAGTGTGAAATGAATCATTTGGTGTTCATTTGAATGTCACATATATTTTCTTAAATGTTTCATTTTAATTTAACAATATTTAATAGGCATTAAAAATAAACTGTTACCTTCATATTTGCCTTAGTTTCATTAGCGTGCCATGCTTATGTCTGAATTTAAGTGATGAGTGTGATTGTCTCAGGCCTTTATGAGGTGGATAATGATAGAGAAGTTTTCTTTAGTGTACCTCAGTAAATTAAAATAGAAAAGACTGAAGTGATTTTTGTTTTTCTGCCTACATTTGAGAAGATTAGGTTGATAGTTGTAGAGTAATATTTTGAGAGGCTTCAACAGAAACTGGCTGAAAAATTTCCCTCTTGGGCAATATTATTGAGAATGGATAGAACATTAAACCTCTGCCAGTGCTGGCTCATTAGCTTATTAGATTGGTTAGCAAGGAGGAAAGTCCTGAAATATTACAGAAAAAGGAGGTGAGATGTTAGAGTAAACAAGTGAGTCAGGGAAATCTTGATGGCTTGGGCTGTTCTTGAGGGCAACAGGCCCACGTGTTTTGGCAGAACACTGCACTGCAGGGTCTCAGGCTGCCAAAAATCAGGAAAAAGAAGTTAAAGGTGAAAATCTGTTGTTATGTGACTTTATCAAGGCATTTCACCTCTTTAGGATTCATAATTTGAGAATATTCTTCCTGAATTTTAAATAAGAAACTTAGGCAAGGTTGTTACTGTATTCCTTTTAATTCTAGAATTATGTGAAATTAGGGAATGTCAAAGAGGGGATGGAAGAAGCTACATAATTATTTGCTATTTTGACTAATTTTCCAGTTTTCCGGTGAGGTTAGATGTCATGTATTTGATCCACACAAGGGCAGAATTTTATGTATCCCTCTTTGAAGTTCATGGTGAATCTGGTGTGTTCTCATAAAAAATTATATAATTCTTTTATCTTTTTAATTATTAAATCAGAATTATAATTATTCTTAGTGCCAACATTTAACTAACATATAATGAATGAATAAGACAGATTAAAGATTTTACTCATGTTATTTTGATTATATAGAGTTATATATTAGACGACAGCTGCCATGATTACAAATAGCACTTGGCCCATTCCATTGCACCTATATACAATGCTCGCATGGAAAGAATCAGGGAGATGGTGGCATTCATGGAGATGTTAGTAGTGACAGTAGAGGTGGCCCCAAAAATTTAGCTATGAAAGTCTGAGATAAATTCAGGCACACATACAAAAAAGGAAAAACTAGATATTTGCAGAAATATGGAAAAATAAGACTCTCATACACTGCTATTGGAAGTGTAAATTTGTACAACCACTTTGGAAAACAATATAGCAGTGTGATAGTAAAAGTGAACAATTTTAGTCTACAGCAAGAAAGAAATATCCTGTGTATAAAACTCTCACATATGAACACAAGGCATGTTCAAGAGCAGTAATGCTCATTACTTCATTATTTATAATGAACAATTTAACATTATAAACAATCTAACATCCATCAGCAGGAATATGGAAGACTATATTATGCTACATTTGTAAATGGAATAATATGATGTAGAACTTGGAATGAATTAGTAACCTTTACCAACATAGAGAAAACTCAAAAAAATATTGAGTAAAAAAGCAAGAGGTTCAATGTTACATGTAGTGTAATGTACACGTAGTGCTATTTCGATAAACGTTAACACATAGTGCAAAAAATTACATATACTTATCAATACATAATTATGTAACAAAAGTACAGAATACATTTATAGAAATTATTATCCTTTTGACATATACAGGGCCAGCACCTATAGATTTAGCACACTCTCTGATCTGTTTCTCTATAGTCATAGATAAGGATCTAGGAGTCCTTCAGTCTAAAAAAAAATATTTTTATGTGCACTGAATTCCTAATTGTATGTATAGTGGAGGAGGAGGGAAGGAAATGATATGGGAGAAAGGTAGAAAAAGGATCTCAATTGTGTTTATAGCATTTAATTCCTTAAAAAATAAACTGAAGTAATTACTTCCTAATGTTAGCTTAAAGAAACCTAATGTTTATTATAATACTTTTTATAATATTTTATTCTTACCTGAATGTCTGACATATATTTCACCATAAACTTTAAAACTTCAACAACAACAGAAACAACAAAACCTACCAAATCTTTATAAGGTAGATGTGGAGATTGGGAGGTTAAGAAATGTCTCTGCTTCCACAGAGCTCAGCTCATAAACATATCCTGTGTGTAGCACAGGGTGAATGAAAACCCACGTCTTTCGATTCTGAGTGTGATGCATGATTCACAATAGCAGCCTCCCTTAATTGCTTCCCACATTCTGTTTAGAACCCAAATTACCAAAGCACTTTTGAACCTGAAGGGTACAATTAAATTTAAGAAGTTTTACTTGTTATGAGTTTTAAATGGACTCACTGCCCCTGAATATTTAGGATTCAACTACTCAAACAAAGGTATACAGAAATAGAATTTTAATTAAAAAGCAGGTGTTTTCTCATTATGGAATAAAAGGAGTTGCCTAACATTAAAAAAAAAAAAAAAGTTCACCATTGCTATCTCATTCTTCCCTGCAGTAAAATGGGCTGAGCTAATAAGCCTCAAATGTCTTGAAAACTGCTATCAGAGATTCAAGAGATATTTAAAATCTCTAATTAAATTTTAGATTACACACTGCAGCTGACAAACATGAGAATTATTTTTTCAAGGAGACTATTTTGATAAAATCTTAATGAGTAACTATTTCTATAGGGCATAAAAATCTCAGGATTCATTTGGGTTTGAAACTGACATGGCCAGACAACCTTCAACATTTTTCATCTGGGACTTCCCCTCGATCATTCTAAGCACTGACCTATCTTTACACACTGACTGTATCTTTACACACTGATCGTACCTTTACATACTGATTGTATCTTTTGGCTTCTCTTCTAGGATTGCTGAGTATGTGCAAGAGACATTTATTGAAGAGCAGCTTTGCTTTTACTTCTAAACAACTTCTAAGAAAGAGAATTTGTGGATTAGATTATGCTATTTTATGCAAACACCAATGTGATCAGCAGTCAATGCTATCACAGGAAGTCCTTAATAAAAACTTGTGTAAAGGCACTCTTCTCACTCTGAGCTTTCACTGAATATGACCTCCCACACTCATGGCTTCACTGGCCATCATATGATTTATACCATGACCCACGTATAACTGCTTCTCACTCTCTTGTCTGTGGGACCAAGGCATCGCTCCTGCTGCTTATCCGACATTTCATCTTGGATGGTCCAAAGGCATCTCAAACTCAATGTATTCAAGATGTGGTCTTCTACCTCATATAAGAGATTTATTTAATCCTGCCAATTTTATTGACTAGCAGCATGGTTCATCTGGTTGCTCAAGTCAGATATATCACATATAAGCTTCTCTTTCAAGTCCCATTGATTTCACCTCTAAAATAATACATGCAGAAATCCCCATGATATGCAAATCCTGTTGGCTCTCCCTCCTAAATAATTTACATAAGTTGACTCCAGCACCCAAACCTAGTCCAGGGTGTCATCATCTCTTTCCCCGGACAACCCTCATTACCTTCGAAATGGTTTACCATTTTCTACATTTGCTCCCCTCCCATCCTTAGTTATTTTACATGTCCTAGTTTTCTGTAGGAGCACTTGATCAACATCTGTCTACCTCTGAAAGGTAAATTCTATAGAGTCAGGAAACTTGCTTGTTTGTCCCAGGTTTGTATCCCTAGGACCTTGCGATTGCATTTCCATCCTGCTTCACGTACCCTAAATTCTGGAAGACAATTTCATACGTGTGGCTATGAATGTTTTTTTCAGTGCAGCATCTTTGGAATAACCTCTCAGCTCTTAAAGGTAACTATTTTAAGTTGGGCATCACATATTAAGACAAAAACATTTTGCTATGTGTGTTTAAAAAAATCATTTCCCTGCCGTTTTTGGTAGTTACACCTGTAGTCCCAGCACTTTGGGAGGTTGAGGCAGGAGGATTGCTTGAGGTCAGGAGTTTGAGACCAGCCTGGGCAGATTCCTTATTTCTGAAAAAAAATTTTAAAAAAGTTATCTGGGTATGGTATTGTGTGCCTGTAGTCCAAGCGACTAGGGAAGCTAAGGCAGGAGGATCATTTGAATCCAGGAGTTCAAGGTTATACTGAGCTATGATTGCACCACTGCACTCCAGCCAGGAAAACAGAGCAAGACTCTATCAAAACAAAATCAAAAAATCATTTTTCTGTCTTAAAAATTAAAACAGCCAACCTTCTTCTCACTCTTTACAGAGATACAGCCAAATAGAGAACAGGCTCATGTGATTTTAATCACTTTCCCTTAACTTTGCCTATTTTATAAGGAGCACAAATGAGTATAAAAAAGCTACCATTCAGTAAAGGAGAAAGAAATTAACGCACACTGAGCACTTCCTGTGTGTTCAATCCTACACAGATTATCTTTCATTGAACTTGAACAGCCTTGGAACTGTTGAGTATATTTTTAATCACTCTACTTTATAGAGTGAGGAAACAGATGTTACAAGAGATTCAGTAATTTACCTAAGTATCTCAGTAGTAAATGGCCAGAGCCAAGACTTCAGTTCAAATCTCTGATTACAAAATCCCTGCTCTTCTAGACAGGCTGTTTTCTCAAAGCAAAGGTGACCCAGATAAATTCAAGGTCAGGGTTATACAGTAACAGAATCATAAACTGAACAGTTGATTTCAGATTTAAAGTTTAGAAGGAACTGCCCTCTAACAGCCCATCTTAGAGCTAGGTAAGTTTGGAAGTGATTTCCACCACACACCCACCTCCACTGTGCCCTGCTGCCACCCCCTGCGCCTAGCGACAGGCAGGCCCTAATACAGGGATCCTCCACTTTGGCTATGCATGCAATTGACCAGTGGGGATTTTAAAAACATAACTTCTCAAGGTGGAATTCAGGTTTTAGAACTTTTAAAGCTCTACAGGGTGTTCTGATGTAAAGATAGGACTTGGAAATACAAGTTAAGTTTTTCTTCGGAATGTATTCTTTTGTCTTTAAATTCCATGTACACATGAACATTAAATTTTAGACAGACAATAAATGTTCTTTAACATGGAAGACAAAATCAGGAAGATCAGGAAGATTATGCCTACTATTTCTATCTTAAAGAAAATATAATCTGGCTGGGCGCAGTGGCTCAAGCCTGTAATCCCAGCACTTTGGGAGGCTGAAGTGGGTGGATCACCTGAGGTTAGAAGTTCGAGACCAGCCTGGCCAACAGGGTGAAACCCCATCTCTCCTAAAAATGCAAAAATTAGCTGGGTATGGTGGTGGGCACCTGTAAACCCAGCTACTTGGGAGGCTGAGGTAGGAGAATTGCTTGAACCCAGGAGATGGAGGATGCAGTGAGCTGAGATCACACCACTGCACTCCAGCCTGGGTGACAGACTGAGACTCTGTCTCAAAAAAAAAGAAAATATATTTTCTATTCAATATACATCATTTCATTCAATATTAATAAATCCCTGCACCCTTCTCTCTTAACAGGATAAATAGAAAATTTTAGACACTTTAAATGCTTTTCATAAAAAGCATGCCTTTTTGCTACTCTTAAACTTATTTACACATTTTCTCTGAGGTTGTATGTAGGCACACATGTGGGTGTCTGTGAATTAACACACTTAAGCAAAGTGTTAATTCAGTAATAGCACTGGAGCACAATTTTCTGAAGATAGATTCATAATTGGCTCACAAAGAAGGCAGAATAGCAGCAGTCAGTGCAACGATGTTGAATGTACTACAGGCTGCTGTTTCAAGGGCACAGGTGAATTTAAAGCTGCTGTACTCACATCTACACATAGGCAAAATCACTCAAGGCAACAGAGTAAAGAATAGCTTTTATGAATAAAATATAAGCCAAGATTGTTTCTTTTAAGAAAAAAGACATATCTATGCTAAACTGTAAAACCTGTTTCTAGGACTGTTCCCTATAGCTATTTTACTTGTCTGCTTGGCTTAGTCTGATTGTCAGCCTCTTCAGTCGGGCTCTCGTTCAGATAACCATCAGGTGATATATGTGCTTTTTAAAAAAAACAGTGGGGAAGGAAGGCATCAATGTGCATTTATTCCATTTCCAATCTGTGACTCATTTCTGTCTTTTCTTCAACCTATTGCTGAATTCTACAGTGTCCCTCTTCTTTATAGTTTCCTCTATCGTCCCTGTCTTTTCCAGATCTGCTATCATTACCTCAACTGTGGGCTGAAATTCTCTCATTTGAACAACTGGACAATTCTTCTTTGCTGTTCTCATTCTTTCAAGCCATTCATTTCTGGTCTTGCCTCAGTGTCATTGCCAAGAAATTTGGCCAAGAAATTATCTGTGTATTTGAAAAAAAAATAATGGAAACTTTTTTGAGGTGCCTAGATTATTGACCAGGAAATTTCCTCTCAGCTTCTAAATGTTTTAAACTAAGGTGATCAGGCATTGTGAACATCGCTTCCCTGCCAGGCCTCAGCCACGCCCTCACCTACTGCTGAAACAAGCCCAAATGCTCCGTAGAGCTCATGTTTACTTTTTTTTTTTTAAATAAATATAGAAATTGCCCCTTCTGGTCTTAAAACTTGAAACTCACTTCTGAGTTCCTCCCTAGGGAAATTAACCTTCAGGCAAGGAAGGAACAGAAACTCACCTGATCACCGAATCCAGACAGATGCCAGAACCCTCATTTGTCATGATTGCTTTCTGTACATAGCTAAATTCCTTCCCTGATATATAAACCCCCAATGTTGCTTGGGTGAGAGGGATAGATTTGAGCTTTGGCTCCCATCTCTCTTCCCAGGCAACACTCATTGTCTCAGTGATTGGCTTTCTGTGCAGTGAGCAATGGAACCTAGACCAAACCCCTGGGGTTTTAATAACATAGTCTCTACATGCACTGCTTTGTATGAGTTAACACCATACACTGCATGGGACGTGGAGGAGGATGTAGAGCAAAGAAAAAAGAGTATAGAACAAAGAGAATGACAAGAAATAGGCAGGGAGAATAAGAAAAAAGTAGGTAGAAGAAAGGTTATAAAAAAGAGAAAAAAGAAAGAATTTTCTATTGCTGACTCTTTGAAGAGAAAGGACGTTTATGAATTCCTAAGATAAGTGTTTAATTGGCAAGCAGTCAGTTGCATAAACATTGATTCATTAATTTCTATTTATGAAGAGAAAATAGACATTTAATTGCAACATTACAAAAGTAACCTTTTGTCCTTCATAAATATTAATATTCAAAATACTTAGAAGATTATTGGCATTGATTTGGCAGATTTGTTTTTGACTATCTGGGAAATTTCACGCCTAAAGCCAAATAAACATTTTTATTAGGTGAAGGCTAAGTGCAATGATAAATAAATTTGAGAAAATTCTAAGTTAGTTAATACATTTTCTTATTTAAAACTCAGGGAGTCAAGGAGAACCAGAGTGTCAACTGTTGTGAATTAAAATGATATTTATTTAATTAACAAATTAGTATTCTACACTTACTTATATTTATAATTGGTATTCCTAGAGTAAATGAACCCATATGCTATATCTTTTCTATAATCATATACTATATAGTACATCATATACTATAATCATATGGCTGTTTGATAGTCAATACTATGGTAATTGTTAGGTTAGCATGCCAATAAATGTGTCTGATCAATGACAGTTAACACTGTTTTACACCCATTATTAGAATTCAGGGACAAAACATCAGCATGCATTTTCATTGTAATTTATCATTTTTGAATTAGTTTATGTGATTTGACATGGTACTAAATAATCCATTGCCCTCTGGAAAGAGCATGCTTGAGGTACTGTTTAATAATTCTCTGCCATATATTTGTTCTGAACATTGATCAAAGATGGTTATGTGGTCTAGTTCTTTTTAGTTTTATTTAAAAATTACAATACAATAATGTACTAAATGAGTGAAATATAGAACATTCCTCTTGGTGCTATTTAAGGACCAGAGTGTGTTAAGAAATAATGGCTAGCATTTGCATAGCTGACAAGCATAGTCCTAAACACAAAGAGATGTGTAATGTCACATTTGCATGAAGTATTAGCTCTTATCACCACATAATGTATTTCTCATTTTACTTTCATGAGCCTGAGGGGTTGCATTGTGTTTGTTTGTTTTAGAGCACCCACATTTTAACCTAATAAATTGTGATGATATAAATCTAGCATTCCAGGTTATTAAGTTTAAATCTATTTTATTTAAATGCAGACACTATATAAACATACACACAATGTGTTAATACACACCAAAATAAACACTTACAGGTAAGGAGATTAAAATCAATTGAATGCTTTTACGCTAAATGTTTTATACATACATATAAATATTATATACGTATACATATATATATAGATAGACCTGAAAAATAGCCTATTCGATTATTGTGATTATTATGCTCACTCACCAAATTAAAAAAAAAAAGAAAGGAAAGATTCTCAGAGAGGTTAAGTAACATGCCTAAATTCATCAGCACGCGATTCGAGGAAGCAGAATTGGAATTTGGATCTGTCTAATGTCAAAACCTGTACATCTTACCACTATGCTAAACTGAGTAAAAGCTGAGTTAATGTATTTCCAACAAAATCAAAGACATACTGATCCTTTTATTTGTCTTTGTAATTGTATTGAGATTACTGAGGGTAAAACTGTGATTTCTGTAAGGAAACAACTGAACAGTCTGGAGGATATCCATTACAATCTTGACTGAAAAAGTTAAATTGTCTCTTTGCAGATGGCATGACTGTATATATGGAAAAACTTTAAAGGCTCTATTGAAAAAGTGTTAGAACTAATAAGCAACTTCAGTGTATAACTGCAGGATACAAAACAAACATATAAAAATCTGTGGCATTTCTATACACTAACAATGAAACACCCAAAAAAGAAAATAGGGAAGCAATCCCATTCACAGTATCATTTAAAACAGATTTAGGAATAGATTGAGCAAAGGAGATAAAAGATCTGTACAGTTAAACTTTAAAATATTGATGAAAGAAATTGAAGAAGACACAAATAAACAAAAAAATCTATGTTTATATATTGGAAGAATCTATATTGTTAAAAATTCAAAACAAATACAGAATCAATGCAAGCCCCATAAAAATCCAATGGTATTATTTACAGAAATACAAAAGAAATCCTAAAGCATATGAAACCACAAAAGTTCCAAACAGTCAAAAGTAATCCTGACAAGAACAATGATGAAGGCATCATACTACCAGATGTTGAAATATACTACAAAGCTATAGTAATAAAAACAACATGATACTGGCATAAAAATAGACATACAGCCCAATGGAATTGTATAGAGAGCCCAGAAATAAATCCACACATTTATTGTCAACAGATCTTCGACAAAGATGACAAGAACATGCAATGGGGAAAGTCTTTTCAATAAAGATGTTGGGAAAACTGCTTATCTAAATGCAGAAGAATGAAATTGTACCCTTATCTCACACTGTCTACATAAATCAACCCAAAATAGATTAAAGACTTCAATGTAACATCTGAAACTATAAAATTATTGAAAGACAACATAGGAAAAAACCCCTTTTGACATTGGTCTGGGCAAATAATTTTTGGATATGATCCCCAAAGCAAAGGCAACAAAATCAAAAATAGACAAATGGGATTGCATCAACTAAAAAGCTTCTGTATAACAAAGGAAATAATTAGCATAATGAAGAGGCAACCTACATGGGAGAAATTGTTTGCAAGCCATATATACAATGAGAGATTAATATCCAAAACATATAAGGAATTCAAAGATCTCAACAGCAAAAACAAATAACCTAATTAAAAAATGGGCAAAGGATCGGAAGAGACAGTTCTCAAAAGAAGACATATAAGTGGCCAATAGGTACATGAAAAAAAAAAAGCTGAACATTACTAATCATCAGGGAAATGCAAATTAAAACCACAATAACCTCACACCTGTTAGAATGGCTAGAATGGCTATTATCAAAAAGACAAAAGATAATCAGTGTTGGTGAGGGTGTGAAAAAATGGAAACCCGTGTACATTCTTGGTGGGATTGTAAATTGTTACAGCTATTATAAAAACAGTATGGAGGTTCTTAAAAAATTAAAAATAATTATCATATAATCCAGCAATCCCAATATTGTGTATACATTCAAAGGAAATAAAATCAGTATGTTGAAGAGATATCTGCATTCCTGTGTTCACTGCAGCATTATTCACAATGGCCAAGATACGGAATCAACTGTTTTCATAGACAGATGAATAGACAAAGAAAATACACAGACACAAAAACACACACCCCCACACACCCCCACACACCCACACAGGAATATTTTTCTTTTTTTTCTTTTTTTTTTTTTTTTTTTGAGACAGAGTCTTGCTGTGTCGCCCAGGCTGGAGTGCAGTTGCAGGATCTCAGCTCACTGCAAGCTCCGCCTCCCGGGATCAGCCATTCTCCTGCCTCAGCCTCCCGAGTAGCTGGGACTACAGGCGCCCGCCACCACGCCCGGCTAATTTTTTGTATTTTTAGTAGAGACGGGGTTTCACCGTGTTAGCCAGGATGGTCTCCATCTCCTGACCTCGTGATCCCCCTGCCTCGACTTCCCAAAGTGTTGGGATCAAAGGCGTGAGCCACCGCGCCCGGCCATTTTTCTTTTTTTAAAAAGAGGAAATTCTGGCTGGGCGCGGTGGCTCACGCCTGTGATCCCAGCACTTTGGGAGGCCGAGGCGGGGGGATCACGAGGTCAGGAGATCGAAACCATCCTGGCTAACACGGTGAAACCCCGTCTCTATCAAAAAATACAAAAAATTAGCCGGGCGTGGTGGCGGGCGCCTGTAGTCCCAGCTACTCGGGAGGCTGAGGCAGGAGAATGGCGGGAACCCGGGAGGCGGAGCTTGCAGTGAGCAGAGATGGCGCCACCGCACTCCAGCCTGGGCGACAGAGCCAGACTCCGTCTCAAAACAAAAACAAAAACAAACAAACAAAAAAAAGGACATTCTGTCATTTGCAACAACATGGATGACCATAGAAAACATTATGTTAAAGGAAATAAGCTAGGGACAGAAAGACAAATACAGCATACTCTCACATATACAATCTTAAAAACTTAAACTCATAGAAACAGAGAGAAAAATGATGATTGCCAGTGTCTTGAGAGTGAGGGAAAAGAGGAGACATTGGTAAAATGACATAAAGTTGCAGTTATGCAGAATGAATTAGTTTTGGAAATCCAATAGACCATACCTATCATTAATTATACTGTACCGTATACTTAACATTTACTCAGAGAGTATTCTTAAATGTTCTCACCACAAAAAAAATATGTAAACCTGTGAGGTGATGGATATGTTAATAAGCACAACTGTGGTAATCAATGAAGATGTATATTAAAACATCACATTGTATGCTGAAAATATAGACATTTTTATTTTTTAATTATACTTTGACAAAGTTAGGGAAAAACTCTAAAAAGGAGAGAATTATTCTAAGCTGTTATTTTGTTCCCTTAGTCATCTTCATCCTTTTAATGCCTAATACAGTACTGAGCATCAGGTTCCCAGTAATTATCTGTGGAGGAAATCATAGATATTAGGGACAGGTGGCCATTTAGAATCAATTTGGTTAGTGCCATATGTTATTCTAACAGTTTGTTGTTACCATTGCTTTACATTGAAGGCAAATTTTAATTTTAAAAATTTGAGAGATATTATAATTTTAAACCAATTGTGCCATCTAATGGACCCTTAAGACTCCCATTAGATCCTGGAGGCATGCTCTAATTTTATATTTAGGTTGCACAAATAACTGAATTAAGCATTTTCATATTTTTATTTTTTCTCATTTTTTTGCATAATCTTGATGTATAAATAAGAAATATAAATGTGTTCATATGCATAAAGTGCCTACACATGCAGGCATGTGTGTGACAAAAAATTACAACTGTTATTTAATCCTAAAGCATATAATTACAATATAATTGGCAAAGAATAATATACGTATCTATAACGTGAAAAACATACATATATATAAAATGAATAAGTTAATGAATCCTTATTTGTAATGTCTTTTCTAGATAAGACTAAGATAAACAGCTTCTGCCTTATGAAGTTTATATATTTAATGTTTATCTTAGGCAATAACGTGGATCTTGTCAAGTCACACAATTTAGAATAATGGTAGATGCAAATAGTTTGCTGTTGATTAATGTCCCATTTTAATTAAGGATTGCTCTGATTTAGAAACTGGGTTCACTACAGGATAGCAGGCAATAGCTCTGCAAATGCTGAGATTAACACAATTTAAGATTTAAAGGATTATCTACCAAACTCAGATACACCAATTCAATTATTCTTGGGTGGATTTTTTTTCTTTTGGCATGCGTGTTTCAATAAAAACTAACAATGATAAAAATGTAAAATTAATTAGTGCACTGGAGATTGTATCAAAGGGTGTAGATTGACTATACAATTTTACTCTTCTACTTTCCAAAATCCCTTGAAATGAAAAAAATCAAAAGAACAAAGTAGGATAGAGGAGAGAATTGGGGGGGGAGGTGTGCACTACTGGTAAGAATGACTACATACACACTACACACACATACACACGCACACATACCACTTCTAAATGAACATCAGAAAGATGAAGAGTGCCATCAACCAATTGCAAATTTTGAGGAATCCCTGAAACATAAAGAGAAGATTAAAAGAATTATAAAGAAAAAAAAGAACATAAGAAACTGGTGCCCTAAACTTTTGTATCCTCAGATCTTCTGCTAAGGTTGGTTGTAGCAGTCCTCCAGGTTCACAGTTAATGATTGTAAGCAAGGCAGAGGCCACCTGGTTGTCCATCTGG